>NC_000017.11:4127474-4278989 GCF_000001405.40 Homo sapiens
GGAAAAAGCAGGGGGCGGTTTAGAACAAATTAAATTGGCCTTAAGCTGGTAATTGTTGAAACTAGCTAATTCTACTCTTATTTCTACTTTCTTATGTTTAAAACTTTCCTATTAAAAAAAAAGCCAGATCCCCCTTCCCAATCTTGGCAGAAATCTGGGGGTGTATTCTCTCGAGAGCAGTATGGCGTGTGGACTAGAAAATACCAGGCACAACTGAAAGTGAGAATACCACACTGAGAATAGGGACACTGATGTTTACTTGCTCAATGTGTAAGACTCAATCTTCCCCCAGGTTTCCCAGAATGCTGGCAGCTAGCCCCATAGCCTCATACCCTTCAGGCAAATGACTGGAAAAGTATTCTCTGGGGAACCTGGTAAACTCAGGGAACGCACCTATAGCCGCCAACACTGGGGATCTCCCAACGAAAGGGCCAGCCAGTTCATCTCGCTGTGAGTCCACCAGTTGACAAGCCAGACACAAAGAGCAACCAGCTTTTTAGTCCCCCATTCCTTAATGAGTGGACAGCCCAGGCCACCGGGACATTTGAGTAAAGCCTTAACATAAAACTCAGAAAAAGCAACTAGGAGAGGCCAGATGCGGTGGCTCACGTCTGCAATCCCAGCACTTCGGGAGGCTGAGGCCAGCAGATCACTTGAGGCCAGGAATTTGAGACCAGCCTGCCCAACATGGTGAAACCCCGTCTCTACTAAAAATACAAAAAAATTAGCTGGGTGTGGTGGCGCGTGCATGTAATCCCAGCTACTCAGGAGGCTGCAGCACAAGAATCGCTTGAAGCCAGGAGGCAGAGGTTGCAGTGAGCTGAGATGGCGCCACCGCACTCCAGCCTGGGTGACAGAGCCAGACTGTCTTAAAAAAAAAAAAAAAAAAAAAAAAGACAACTAGGAGAAAAGACAGACAATGCAGGGAAAATAGAACTTCAAAAGGATGATTAATATCTTCAGAGAAATATTTTTCTAAAGTTGTTTTTTTTTTTTTAAATTTGACACAGAGTTTAGTTCTGTCACCCCAGCTGGAGTGCAGTTGCGTGATCTAGGCTCACTGCAACCTCTGCCTCCCAGGTTCAAGTGATTCTCCTGCCTCAGCCTCCCGAGTAGCTGGGACCACAGGCATGCACCACCACACCTGGCTAATTTTTTGCACTTTTTGGTTGAGATGGAGTTTCACCATGTTGGCCAGGCTGGTCCTGAACTGCTGGCTTCAAGTGATCTGCCTGCCTCGGCCTCCCAAAGTGCTGGGATTAAAGGCGTGAGCTACTGCGCCTGGCCAAAATCATTTTTTTTTTTTTTTTTTTTTGAGACGGAGTCTTGCTCTGTCGCCCAGACTGGAGTGCAGTGGTGGGATCTCGGCTTACTGCAACCTCCGCCTCCCGAGTTCAAGCTATTCTTCCTCAGCCTCCCGAGTAGCTGGGATTACAAGCATGCGCCACCACGCCCAGCTAATTTTTGCGTTTTTAGTAGAGATGGGGTTTCACCATGTTGGCCAGGATGGTCTTGATCTCTTGACCTTGTGATCTGCCCACCTCGGCCTCCCAAAGTGCTGGGATTACAGGTGTGAGCCACCGCACCCGGCCCAAAAAACATTTTTAATACCAACTTTACTAAGGTATGTAATTCACACACTATAAAGTTCCTCCTTTTAAAGTGTATAATTCAGTAGGTCTTAGAATACTCAGAGTTGTGCAACCACCATTCTCTTATAATAAACAGATATTGCAATCATGAAAGAACAGGATAACTATTAACTAAAAACAGGATATTGAGAAAATGTTTAAAAGCTCTTGAAGGGAGTATAAATTAGTTCGATCACTGTGGAAAGCAATGTGGCGATTCCTCAAAAAGCTAAAAACAGAACTACCATTTGACCCAGCAATCCCATTACTGGGTATATACCCAGAGGAAGAAATATCATTCCACCATAAAGACACATACACACAAATGTTCACTGCAGCACTATTCACCATAGCAAAGACACGCAATCAACCTAAATGCCCATCAATGACAGACTGGATGAAGAAAATGTGTAGTCCTTCAACATAAATAAGGTAAAAAGAAAAAAAAGAGGGCTGGGCACGGTGGCTGACACCTGTAATCCCAGCACTTTGGGAGGCCGAGGCGGATGGATCACAAGGTCAGGAGTTCCAGACCAGCCTGTCCAATATGGTGAAACCCCATCTCTACTAAAAATACAAAAATGAGCCAGGTGTGGTGGTAGGCACCTATAGTCCCAGCTACTCGGGAGGCTGAGGCAGGAGAATCACTTGAACCCAGGAGGTGGAGAAAAAGAAAAGAATAAAAAAGAAAATATGGTACATATACACCATGGAATACTATGCAGCCATAAAAAGAACAAGATCATGTCTTTTGTGGGAACATGGATGGAGCTGGAGGCCACTATCCTTAGCAAACTAAGGCAGGAACAGAAAACCAAATACTGCATGTTCTCACTTACAAGTGGGAGCTAAATGATGAGAACTCGAGAACACAAAGAAGAAACAACGGACCCTGGGGCCTACCTAAGGTGGGAGGGTGAGAGGAGGGAGAGGACCAGAAAAAATAACTATTGGGTGCTGGGCTTAGTTGTAATGTGTACAACCAACCCCCATGAGATGAGTTTACCTCTATAACAAAACTGCACATGTACCCCAGAACCTAAAAAGTTAAAAAATAAAAATATGAGGTTGGGCACGGTGGCTCATGCCTATAATCCCAGCACTTTGGGAAGCTGAGGCAGGCAGATCACCTGAGGTCAGGAGTTTGAAACTAGCCTGGCCAACATGCGAAACCACATCTCTACTAAAAATACAAAAATTAGCCGGGCGTGGTGGTGGGTACCTGTAGTCCCAGCTACTAGGGAGGCTGAGGCAGGAGAATCGCTTGAACCCAGGAGGTGGAGCTTGCAGTGAGCTGAGATCTCACCCTTGCACTCCAGCTTGGGTGACAGAGTAAGACTCTGTCTCAAAAGTAAAAATAAATAAATAAAAATAAAAAGCTCTTGAAAATGAAAATATCACAACAAAACAAAAATCTCAAAGGAAAGGTTGGAAGGTGAAGAGACCGAAGTGCCCATGAAGTAGAGCCAACAGACAAAACTAAGGAAACCGGGAGAGAAAAGCCAGGAAAGTCAGCGGGCCAGTTCAAGGAAACCGGGAGAGAAAAGTGAAGGGAAATCCGGGGACCAGTTCAAGACGTCCCACATCCAAACAAGAGTTTAAGAAAGATGGAATGCAGAAAACGTAGGGGAGGAAATCACTATCATTACGATTCAAGATCATTTCCCCAAACTGAAGGACATGAGTTCCGTGACTGCAGGGGCTGATTACCCTGCACACAGGATAAAAGTGCATCACAGTGAAATTTTTTAAGACTGAGGAAAAAGGGAAGTCCTACTTCCAGGGAGAAGAAACAGTTTCTATGTCAAAGGTCAAGAATCCGAATGGGACTCGATCAGCAGTCACATGGAAGCCAGAAGGCAATGAAAGTAGTGACTGCCACATTCTGGGGCGTGCCTTTTCTAACCCGGAAGTCATTACTCAGCCCAAATCCCATCAACTGTGAGAGAGCAGAAGAAAATCATTCTTACACATGCAAGGTTCTCAAAAGATGAACTACTCAATCCTCCCTTTTTCAGAAAGCTACTAGAGGATGCAGCCACCAGAACGAAGAAATATGCCAAGACAGGAGAAGAATGGGATCCAAGCAGGAGAAAATGAATCCCCAGGATGACGGAGCTTCTCAGATGACACCCGCACAGCCGACCTAGAGAATAACAAATCTAGATTAAAGCAGATCAGAAGGATTCAGGAAATACTTCCTTGAGAAGATGAAGTTGATAGAATGCCAATGTGTTTAAACATATTGAACGTTTCTGTTAGAGGAGATTTAGACAACTGGCAGAGAATCTGGGACTAAATTAATGATAAAAGACTGAAAATTAGGAAAATTAAAGTATGTATTCAATTGTTAACTCCAAAGAAAATAAAAAGATGTATAAGAAAAAAAAAGGCCAGACGCAGTGGCTCATGCCTGTAATCCCAGCACTTTGGGAGGCTAAGGTGGGTGGATTGCATGAGTCCAGGAGTTCAAGACCAGTGTGAGCGATGTGGCAAAACCTCCTCTCTACAAAAATATACAAAAATTTGCCAGGCGTGGTGGTATGCACCTGTAATCCCAGCTAGTCGAGAGGCTGAGGTGGGAGGATCACTTGAGCCTAGGGGGTCGAGGTGCAGTGAGCCAAGATTGCACCACTGTACTCCAGCCTGGGTGACAGAGCAAGACCCTGTCTCAAAAAAAAAGAAAAACAAAAACATGGTACTATATGGCACAGCAATGTAAAGAACTTACATAATCATAATAAGGTAAAGGTCAAAGGGTGATCTAAACAAAATGGACAGAATTGTAGCGGGAGGACAGGGGACGTGCATGCATGGGCAACGATGGGAAGGTAAAAGACAACTCAAGTCTCATCACTGATGGTGGAAATAAAATAGATAAAGCCTAAAACTGAAAACAATCACAAAGAACATAAACATATTACTTGGTAATACAGCGTTAAACACTCAAGAACCAGCTAGAGTTGAAAAGTAATTGTTCTTGGGGAATGAGACATTGGGACAGGACAGCAGGAAAGCATTGTTTCTTGTTCAAGTCCTGTCGGCTATATACCGTGTGCATGTACAACTGATAAAAATAAAAGCCTAAATTTTCTCTTTTTTTTTTTTTTTTTGAGACACCAGGCTGGAGTGCAGTGGTGCAATCATGGTTCACTTCAACCTCGGCCTCCAGAGTTCAAGTGATTCCCATGCCTCAGCCTCCGAAGTAGCTGGGATTAAAGGCATGCGCCACCATACGTGGCTAATTTTTGTATTTTTCCTAGAGCTGGGGTTTCACCATGTTGGCCAGGCTAGTCTCAAACTCCTGGCCTCAAGTGATCCACCTGCCTCCGCCTGTAATCCCAGCACTTTGGGAGGTCAAGGTGGGCGGTTCACGAGGTCAGGGCATCAAGACCATCCTGGCTAACACGGTGAAACCCCGTCTCTACTAAAAATACAAAAAATTAGCCGGGCTTGGTGGCAGGCGCCTGTAATCCCAGCACTTTGGGAGGCCAAAGTGGGTGGATCACAAAGTCGGGAGATCGAGACCATCCTGGCTAACACGGTGAAACCCCATCTCTACTAAAAATACAAAAAATTAGCCGGGTGTGGTGGCGGGCGCCTGTAATCCCAGCACTTTGGGAGGCCGAGGCGGGTGGATCACGAAGTCAGGAGATCAAGACCATCCTGGCTAACACGATGAAACCCCGTCTCTACTAAAAATACAAAAAATTAGCCGGGTGTGGTGGCGGGCGCCTGTAGTCCCAGCTACTCGGGAGACTGAGGCAGGAGAATGGCATGAACCTGGGAGGTGGAGCTTGCAGTGAGCTGAGATCACGCCACTGCAGTCCAGCCTGGGCGACAGAGCGAGACTCCATCTCAAAAAAAAAAGTGGAGCAGGTGGGGGAAGAAGGAGGTGGCACAGAGCAGAGCCTCATCTTCCCTGAGGCCCTGCGGTGGGAACGCTACACTACCAGATAATAGCTACTTCCCAAATTGTTCACATTATAGCATACTGAGAAAATAATGATATTTGTAAGACTCAAGGTCTGAGGAGATTAGCACAGCTATCATTCATTCAGTTGGGAACGACACACAGACTTGGAAACTATGAATCAATATTTGGGCACTCGTTAAATGCCAGGCACCGAGCAGAGCATTTTATATACTATAATGTCATTTATTCCTCATAACAGTAACAGTACTATTAACCTCCCCGTCTTATAGTTGTACAGAGAGGTCAGGTACCTTGCCTGAGGTCACACAGCTAGTGTTTGCATCCAAGGCTTCAGGGTTCATGTTCTTCACCACAACTCCCTTCCCCTTCCTTTGACCAGATAACCCCTCGGGTTCCTTACCATCTGAAGACCAAATGCTTAAAACCTCTTAGCTCCATTACTTTCCTCCATCTATAAAAGCTGCTTTCCGCTCCTTTTGTCCAGGTGAACTCCTATCAACTCTAGAAGTGAGACTCACTCCCTCTGAATCTCAAGGTAGCACTCAAGTCCCACTTCCACCAAAACTTCCACAAATCAAGCACTCCCTGCACCTCCAACTTCCCACACAACTCCTGCTGTGTATTGCTAATAAAAATTCTATATAACCAAGGCTATAAAAATACTGACATTTTTGCTATCTTTTTTTTTTTTCTTTTTGAGACAGGGTCTTCATCTACCACCCAGGCTAGAGTGCAGTAGCGTGATCACAGCTCACTGCAGCCTTGACCTCCTAGGTTCAAGCGGTCCTCCCACCTCAGCCTCCTGAGTGGCTGGGACATGCTCAGCTAGTTTTTTATTTTTTTGTAGAAACAAAGTCTCACTATGTTACCCAGACTGGTCTCAAACTCCTGGGGTCAAGCAATCCTCCTGCCTTGGCCTCCCAGACTGCTGGATTTATCGGCATAAGCCACTGTGCCAGGCCATTTTTGCTATTTTTAATAGATTCTATTGATTCATCAATAGTTAATGAATATGATAAAAGGGATTTTCGAATAAAACAAAAACAAATAATTTTGGCTAAGAAAAAAATTACCACAGCTTTGTGAACAGCTTCACCAAATAATTATGTAATTTCCTAACACTCAAAAACTGACTGTCTTAAGAAAAGAAATGTTCAGGTTTGCTACCCAGGAGGCTGAGGTGGGAGGACCGCTTGAACCTAGGAGGTCAAGGCTGCAGTGAGCTGTGATCACACTACTGCACTCTAGCCTGGGTGGTAGATGAAGACCCTGTCTCAAAAAGAAAAAATATATATATATTTATATATATTTATATATATATATTTATATAATATATAATTATTATATAAATACCTGATCCTGTGTTTGGCTCTGTGGATACAAAGATGAATAGGGCACACAGTCCTTTCCCTTCAAAAACCTCACAGCCTAGAAGACAGATCTGTAAACCAACAGCAGCAATGTAATAGGTGTGACAATTACGATACGAGAACTAAGAGTATAAACTATTTACAACAGCCAATGTTAGTGAGCACCAGGCAGAGTTCTAAGCCCTTCACATGGATCAACTTATATTTTCCACAACAACTCTAAAGGTAGGTACTACCTTTTTGCTGGTGACGAACAGAGAGGTTATTTTTTTTAAGGCATATGGTTAGTACACGATGGAGCTTGAATTTGAATCCTGGACTGATTCCAGATGCCACAATTAACCACTATACCATGGGCCAACAGACACTCCAGGGATGAGAAGTCCGAGACAGGGAGGGGCGTTAGGGGAAATGGCCCAGAAAAAAACAACCCTTAAACTGTGCTTTAATGGGTAACTAGGAGTTTGAAAGTATATGGCGAGGGAGAGGCAATCTCAGGTAGAGGAGACAGACTGTCAGCATACATAAAGACTGTATGGCAGATAGTGAGAACTATGACCTGCCTGGTGTGGCTGGAAAGGAACAGGGCAGGTGATGAAGACAGGGCTAGAGGTCAGAATAAAAAGAGCCTGGCAGACCCAGGATGAAGAGCTCAGATATTACAGTAAGGGCACCATGGGGCCACTGGAGACTATTAAGGGTGGAGGGCGCTGATCACCCCAGATCTGCATAAGCTCTCTTATGTGTGGGACCTACAAATCTCTTAAAATATGTGCCTTTGTGCCAGATGCGTTGGCTTACGCCTGTAATCCCAGCACTTCGGGAGCCCAAGGCAGTAGGATTGCTTGAGCCCAGGAGCTCAAGACCAGCCTGGGTAACATGATGAAACCCCATCTCTACTAAAAACAAAAAAATTAGCCTGGCGTAGTGAGGGGCACCTGTAGTCCCAGCTACTCAGGAGGCTGAGGCAGGAGAATTCCTTGAACCTGGGAGGCAAAGGTTGCAGTGAGCTGAAATCACCACTGCACTGCAGCCTGGGCAACAGAGCAAGACTCCATCTTAAAAAAAAAAAGGTGCCTCTGTACAGCCTGAATCCATTCTCCAGTGTCTCTGAGAGCGCTCAGCCACTTTCTGTTACACACATCAGTGATGCTTCCCAGCTCATCTCCTCTGGACAGTTCTGACAGCAGTAACTCTCTTCCTCTAGTGAACTGAAAACCTGCCTCCCCAAAGTTACCATCCCTGGGGCCATTCAGAACACATCTACTCCTTCTGCCCAGAGACAACCTGCAGATCACTGATAACAGCGATCAGGTCCTCGGAGTTCCTGCCAAACCCTTCTCCATTCTTTCCACCAGCTCTCCATTTGCTATGGTCTCAGTCTCATTCCCATCCTGATTGTCACCTTTGGGATCCCTCTAGTTTGTCAATAAACCTCAGAACAAGTGCTTCTCAACTTTTATTGGCTGATCCAGTAAAATACATTTTGCATCATGACCTAGCATACACATAATTGGTATCAAAGTTCCAAGAAACAATGCAATACTTTTTCTCATCAGTTACAATGTACTCTGATATTTTCTCTTTTTTTTTTTTTTTTTGAGACGGTGTCTCGCTGTTGCCAGGCTGGAGTGCAGTGGTGCGATCTCGGCTCACTGCAACCTGTCGCCCAGGTTCAAGCGATTCTCCTGCCTCAGCCTCCCGAGTAGCTGGAACTACAGGCGCGCTTCACCACACTCAGCTAACATGGTGAAACCCCCGTCTCTACTAAAAATACAGAAATTAGCCAGACATGGGGGCAGGTGCCTGTAATCCCAGCTAATCGGGAGGCTGAGGCAGGAGAATCGCTTAAAACTGGGAGGTGGAGGTTGCAGTGAGCCGGTATTGTGCCACTGCATTCCAGCCTGGGCGACAGAGTGAGACTCCGTCTCAAAAAAAAAAAAACAAAGACATTACAGAGGCTAGAATAAACATCTTGAACTACAACCATAGAAAACAGTAACACTGCCAATTACAACACTTATTGAGCACTGAGCAGGTGAGCTGGTTTTATGGGTGAGGCGACTGAGACACTGTGGTCAAGTAGGTTGACCAAAGTCAGCTGGCTTGAGAATGGTGGAACTAGAACTTGCTCACAAGCAGGCTGGCTCGAGGCCCAGTTCCCAAGCTCAGTCTGAAGAACAGCAGAATGAGCAGACTCATAACACGGCAAACCCGCTGATGCCATTACAGGCTAATTACACACCCGTCCAGGTTGCTATGAAAGGGGTCCCTTTTCGGGGGCAGAGAGGGGGCAGCTTGCAGGCAATGAGTACCAAGGTCCCAGCTGGTTCAGACTGTAGGCTAGGTGCTAAAGGATCATTCCCAAAACGTGCCATGCCCTCTCACTCCAGTATATCTGCATATGCTGTGCCTTTCATACGGCAAATCCCTTCCTTCCTTTGCCAGGCGAATTCTTCCAGCCTCTCAAGCCTTGTTGTGATGAAGCCTTTCTCAAACTCCATGCTGCTGGTAACTGCTTCTCTGTGGTCCCTGAAACTGGAGTGGGCTTAGGATGGAGCAGGGAGCAGACAGGAGGAGAAGGAGAGCAAAGGACAAAATTCCCACATACATGGGAAACGGGACCATAAAGTGGCTGCTTAAAGAGCACTGGGAGACAAGGGTAGAAGGTATAAGAGTGTAAAGGCTGCTCCACCATTCAGATGTGATTCTGAAGGCAATGGGGAGCCACTGAAGTTTCTAAAGCAAGGCAGTACCATGGTGAGGTGGTATTTTGGAAATCAGGGAGAGACAAAAGAGCTGTGGCCCTTCCTCCATAGCTCTCCTAGGTCATGAATTTCTCCAAAGAAACCAATACCATTAACTCCCCCATAGCAAAACACACAAAGCCAAAGTAAGCAAAAATAATCTCCACTCGGCCAGGTGCGATGGCTCATGCCTGTAATCCCAGCACTTTGGGAGGCCGAGGTGGGCGGATCACAAGGTCAGGAGATCGAGACCATCCTGGCTAACACGGTGAAACCCCGTCTCTTACTAAAAAACACAAAAAATTAGCCGGGCGTGGTGGCAGGCGCCTGTAGTCCCAGCTACTCAGGAGGCTGAGGCAGGAGAATGGTGTGAACCTGGGAGGCGGAGCTTGCAGTGAGCCAAGATTGTGCCACTGCACTCCAGCCTGGGCAACAGAGACTCTGTCTCAAAATAATAATAATAATAATCTCCACTCACCAAGGATCTTTCCTGTACTGCCTCATCACCATCCACAGCCAGCCATCCCTTACCAAAGACCTCCTGTGTACAATGGTAGTGCAGGCAGGTGGCTGGCGGCCTCACAGCCTAGTTGCACAGCAAGGCCAGACAGTATGCTCTAAGTGCCAAAGGATCTGTACAGAACAGGTAACAGGAGCCTCAGCTGTAGGGCTGAAAACACCATTATGGAGACACTATCTGAATCATGCCACAGAAGATGTGGTGCTGACCAGGTGACAGTGCCAAGGTGGGGAATCTTCAAGAACTGATAGCAAGGTCCATACACAGGACAAAGGAGGTGTCCCACTAGCCAGCACAGGGCTCATGCGGGGGTAGGGGGAAGATAAATTAGGTAAGGGAGTTAGGAACAAAGCAGGCATCCCACTAGCTAGCACAGGGCTAGTGCAGGTGGGGGAAAGGTAAATTAGCTGAGAGAGTTAGGCTGATGTGTGGGCTTCAACCGATTCAGACAAATACATATTTGGTCCCTTGGGTAGTGGAGAGCTGAGGGCTCCCGGCTGAAGGCAAGAAAAGCTGGCAGCCTGCTGTTGCTTTATGGTGCACACACACAGCTCTTACAGTCAATAGTCTTAAAAGGGCAGATAATCACATCTGCAGATTCCTACGGCACAGTTCCTGGGCTCAAAGCCATTCTAAATTAGTTGATTAATACTTTTCACATAATAATATGAAGACGAGCACAGGGCTTTTCTACAAACTTCCTGTAAACCCGAAAGTGACTAAGAACCTTTTAAAGTTTTCACAAAAATCATATTTAACCGTTTCCTTCAATGTCAAGAAATATTAAAAGGTTACAGACTGAATATAAAATATGAGGTTTGAGTGTGTGTGGACTACAACTTCTACAGTCTCCCAAAGCACCTGGGCACTGGCAACCACCCAGGACTGTGCTAAGACGATGAACAGAGATGAATCAAAAAGGCCCTTCCCTTAGAGCTTACCACCCCACGAATTTCACAAAGTAGGCACCAAAACTATGTGGCAAATTAATAAAACACAACCTATTCATATGAAATTTCACTTTAGGGCCATCTGTTATCCTGTACTCAGCACGTTTTTCTGCCCTAGAAGATTTTCTAGAATCATACTCTAAGAGCATAAATATCTAATCTATAACCTCTGATGTGAAATAAGAACTTAATTTTAATTCTATTTCCCCTCTACATGGCAGTTAATTAAATATTGCTCCTTGTGAGCAAACTGAGAGAGTCCCTTCTCCCTGGACCACACCTACCATGAGAAAAGGTGTGTTGTACTATAAAATGATAATGTTTCAGACTTTGGTCCATGGTCCAACTCCAAGAACTTCTTTATAACACCTCCTCAAGTAACTGAGGTCACAGGAATGTGAAAGCAAGACAGCTGCGTGGACACCAATGGCAGCTAAGTTAGGAAGCCAAAGAAGAAACATGTAACACTTGGAAACTCTCAGCATTATAATAAACCATGCGCACCTTCTCCCTGGACCACACCTACCATGAGAAAAGGTGTGTTGTACTATAAAATGATAATGTTTCAGACTTTGGTCCATGGTCCAACTCCAAGAACTTCTTTATAACACCTCCTCAAATAACTGAGGTCACAGGAATGTGAAAGCAAGACAGCTGCGTGGACACCAATGGCAGCGTAAGTTGGGAAGCCAAAGAAGAAACATGTAACACTTGGAAACTCTCAGCATTATAATAAACCATGCGCACCCGTGGCTATCTGTTTTACCATGTTAGCTCTTATAAAAACGAATGACGGAAACAACTTGTCATTTTAGTTGCTACTATAAAGACATTACTTCACAAGCCCTTCATCTTGCAGTAAAATACAGCAGTATATTCTCAAAAGCTTAGACGTAGATTAACAACGCAGAATTAACTGTGTAAGTATGCACAAAAGTATATACTTATTCAAGTCTAAGGATAGACATTCTTAAAGCACAGAATCAAATGCATGGCTAAATCTTATCTTCTTTGGCTAGTCCTAACTTACTAGTTCTTACAGACAGAGCAGCCATCACAAGATTATCATGAGAGACGGTGGCCACTGTGAGATTATCACAATCAGGTTTTTAAACCTTGGCTAAGCCTCACTCACAGAACTGTATGACCTAGCTATGTGAATCAAAGACTGCCAAATATAACTCAATGTTTTCTCTCCCCTTCCTCAATAATTAAGCCCTGAGTTTTAGCTGAATATATGGCCACGGAAAAAGAATCTTTCCCAGCCTGTCCTGCAGGTAACTGCGGCCATGTGACTGAATTTTGGCCTGTGGGATGTAAGCTATGCCCGTAAGAGAGTGGGCATGGCTTCTTCCTTCTCCTTCCCTTTTCCCTTTCTTGCTTGTTGGAATGTGGAAAATGACAGCAGGAGTCAACAGAATTACTAAGTGGAAGATGTCCGTGGAGGATGACAGCACAAGATGGACGAAGCCAGGTCCCTGATGATGACAACACTGCCACATCAATCTTGGACTGCCTACCTGGACATTTTCATAAGGAAGCAGCTTCTTTTTATGTTTAAACCACTGATGCATTAGGTTTTCTGTCCCTTGAAAAAGTTTTGTGTATCCCTAATACACCACACCAGACTTCTTCCAGATTCTCTGGACTTTGAACTTTTGTGGATACAATTTCCTCTGCCTGAAACGCTGTTACTACCTCCTGTAACACTATCTGCTTTCACCATTCACCTGTGGGCTGAAATGTTACCTTCTCAGGTAAGTCTTGCTTGAGCCCCAAGTGAGGTTAAATACACTTGCTATTTATTCCTTATACCTTCCCCCTCGGTTAACACTCACCATATCTTATAATTAATGGGTTAATACCTGTCTCTTCCACCACAACTACATACTCTTTAAGAGCAAGTATCTGCTTTGTCCACTGTCATCCAAGTGAGTGGCACTCGATATACGCCCAATAAACATTTGCTCAGTGAACAATAATGCCACAACCCCTGAGTGATTTCTGGACCACACCTCAAGTATTTCTTGACCTTCTATTAAGGGACTCCTATGAACTCTACATAAAGTTCTATTTCTGTCAGAAACTCTCAGAATGTAAACGGTGTTTCTCTCCATTTGCCTTTGCTCAAATCTGCAAAGTGCCATCTCCTTCAACAGTTCTGCATGGTTCTTCCCACTACTACTTCATATTCTCATAATACGCGTAGATACTAGAAAGAAGGTACTATGTGTATTCCTGGGGGGAAAAAAAAAGGAGATCTTTCACTAACTAATATGACTTTTTTTTTTTTTTTTGAGACAGAGTATCGCTCTGAGGCCCAGGCTGGAATGCAGTGGCGTGATCTCAGCTCACTGCAACCTCCGCCTCCTGGGTTCAAGCGGTTGTCCCACCTCAGCCTCCCAAGTAGCTGGGATTACAGGCACCCGCCACCATGCCCAGCTAATTTTTGTATTTTTAGTAGAGGTGGGGTTTCACCACGTTGGCCAGGCTGGTCTTGAATTCCTGACCTCAGATGATCCTCCCGCCTCAGCCTCCCAAAGTGCTGGGATTACAGGCGTGAGCCACTGCGCCCAGCCATGACTATTATTTTTAAGGGTTGGGATGCCTTAAAGGTACTTTTTTCATAAGAAACACACAAACTACATTATCTGAATTCTGGCCATGTACAGGAAGACATTCTTAAAATATTTTAAAAGCCTCTGATTTTAAGGTGAACAGAACCTTTTAAAGGCACTGCAAGTACCCGCTGGTTTACTGCTTTATGTACACACCCTTCGTGGCCACTGAAGATTCTACATGACTGGCTAACTCATTTTCACAAAATAAGTACCTTTTTGGTCATACCGTGGTGTTAAAAGAAATAGGATCCCAGGAAGGAGGTAGTGAGACATTAAAAACAAAAAATAGGGTGCGGGTGGAGGGAGAGAGAGCATCAGGAAGAATACCTAATGGATGCTGGGCTTAATACCTGGGTGATGGGATGCTGTGTGGAGTAAACCACCATGGCACACGTTTACCTATGTAATACATCTGCAAATCCAAATCCTGCACATGTACGCCTGAATTTAAAATAAAAGTTGAAAGAAAGAAAAAAAAAAAAAGCAAGAGATCTAGTTGATAGTCTGTTTTACTAATGATTCACTGGGTAACCCTGGATCAGTCTTCTTAACTCGAAGTGAAGCGCCCAGTAAATAAACTCCCAAAATGCCTTCCAAGGAAAATATTTTGTTGCCAAATCAATTTGCTCTCTTAATGACTTAGCAGACATGATCTTGGTGATTATATGAAGAACTGCATAATTACAAGTATTCACAGGAAACCTGGTATTTGCCTATCAGTTTCGGATCCTATGAAGGTTTAAATGAGTCTAATATATGGTTCTTTAAGGATCTACAAACCAGTATGTATTTTAGAAAAGCTAGTTTTTGCATGAGGAGGATAGGTTTTAGAATGTGAGCCTTTCCAGCATGTTACTACTGTCTTTCCACACTTATTCGGCGCCCACACTGAATTGGGAAGGTGCTGTGTAAAAACCTGGACAGGACAATACAAAAAATGGTTCTCAGCGCCACTCCTCCTATCCTTACATCTCTTTTCTCTCCAAACTGTTCGAGAATCTGATAGAAGATCTCCAGAGTAGCGTCAATCAACTGCACAAAGGTCTGCATTACAACATACAGAGAGAGACATATGGGCTTGTCCAGCTCTTCAGAGCAAGGACGGCCTGATGCAGACTTTCCAGACCTCTAACATAGGTTAAAGAGAAACGAAGCAAACGCCTGGTGAAAAGCTGGAAACACCTCATATGGGTCCCCGCCTGGCCTCTCCAAAGCAAATGCCCACCTCTTCCTTCAGTCCCCTGGGGGCGACCGCCCTGCCCCATCCCCGCAGTCGCCTGCCGGCCCTGACCTCCTCGAACTGCTCGCTAGAGCAGCCGGCGCCGCGAGCCTCCAGCAGCTCCCGGAACTGCTCCAGAGTGACAGACTCTTCGCCGCGGCCCAGCCGCTCTTCCAGCCAGCGAAACAACGCGCCGCGATGCCTCGACACCAGCGACTCGCAGGGGGGTGTGGGCAGCAACGCTGCAGCAGCCTCTCGCAGCCTGGCCGGCTCCAGCAGCGCCGCGGCGGGTGGTAGCGCTGGAGCCGCGACGCCCGGGCCGGGGGTCGTGCCCGAGACCGCGGCCCAGTCCTGGTGTGGGCCCCAGCCCTCGCCACCGGCAGCTGCCGCTTCGTCTTCACTGCTGTGACTCGGAGCGTTCCCCATGGGGTCTCCGTCTTGGGCGCCTGGCTCTGCAGCCGCCGCCGCCGCCTCCCCGCCTCGACCTGTCAACCTCCGACAGCAGCTGGCGGGCGGGGACGCGGAGGAGACGACGGCGGCCCCTGCGGCTTCCGGCTTCCTGGCCGTCAAGCGACGACCGCTGTCGCAAAGGCGCCGTCACGTAGATAGGCGGCCTCTACCAACTCACGACAGCTAGGCGGGGAGCGCCGCCTCAAAGGGTGCAACCTTGATTTCCCAGAGGACGAGTCTGTCTCAGTATCTACGTCATTCCGTAGCCTCCGCTGCCGCCATCTTTGTTGGGGCTGACAACCTGCAAGCCAAGAAGTACGAGAAGGGCCAGGCGCGGTGGCTCACGCCTGTAATCCCAGCACTTTGGGAGGCCGAGACGGGTGGATCACCTGAGGTCAGGAGTTCGAGACCAGCCTGACCAACGTGGTGAAACCCTGTCTCTACTAAATACAAAATATTAGCCGGACGTGGGGGCGCGTGCCTGTAATCCCAGCTACTTGGGAGGCTGAGGCAGGAGAATCGCTTGAACCCGGGAGGCGGAGGTTGCAGTGAGCCGAGATTCCGCCAGTGCACTCCAGCCTGGACAACAAGAGCTAAAACTCTGTCTCAGAAAAAAAAAAAAAAAGTACCTGGAAAAAGTCGCAGACAGCGAGCTTTTCGCCAGTGCCAGGAATACAGATAAAACGAGAGAGACTAAGGGAGGGAGCGCGAGCACTAGCGCGCGAGAGAGAGAGCGAGAGCGCGCGCGCCGATGACGTCACGCTCGGCGTCTCGGCCATCTTAGCTGTAGATAGAGGCGGCAACCTCGGAAGTGCGGAGCGGGTGGGCCTATATAGATGTTGAGGTGCGGAGGCCGTGGGCTTTTGTTGGGCCTGGCTGTAGCCGCAGCAGCGGTAATGGCAGCACGGCTTATGGGCTGGTGGGGTCCCCGCGCTGGCTTTCGCCTTTTCATACCGGAGGAGCTGTCTCGCTACCGCGGCGGCCCAGGGGACCCGGGCCTGTACTTGGCGTTGCTCGGCCGTGTCTACGATGTGTCCTCCGGCCGGAGGCACTACGAGCCTGGGTCCCACTATAGCGGCTTCGCAGGTATCAGCGAGGCTGCTCACGCCTTTCTCTCCGCTGGCGCGAGCCAGTAGCCACCTGCGCGTCGTTCGTTGGTTCATTATTCATCTATTTCCCCCCCCATCCCCACCCCACATCCATCAAACCCGTGCGGTGGGCGGGACGAGCTGCATGCACTATCCTTCTAGGCTCTCTGGCTCTGGCGGGACTGTGGGCCAGCTCTGTCATCCACCACCGCCCTGCGTGACTTACATTGGAGAAACATGTCTTCTGTCTCTTGTTACCCATTACCCAGCGTCGGAAGCCCTAGGATACGGGCTGTGTGCCGGACTTTTGTGGGGGCTCTTAGGGCACAGATAAACGAGATCCCGCCCCGCCCCTACCCTCACAGTTTCCTTAATAATTCCAACCATCTCTTCATTATGCCCTGGTCCCAAATAATCTTTCTTCCCCCCACCCCTAAGCATAGTGTTTTCAAGGTTCATCCATGGTTTATGAGCATGCATCAATACTTTATTCCTTTATGGCCCGTCATATAGTACATTTGGTCTGAGTCATTCCTGCTTCTAGTACAAGATGCACCTGTTTGCCTTCCTTAGAAGGTTAGGGCAGAGGAAAGGGGTCCAGTCACCTTTACAGTCCTTGATACGTAGACCAAAGTTGTGCATATGTTAGGCCTCAAGAAACATTTGTCAAATTAAGTTTATGCTGGTGTCCCTGTGTTACAGCTGAGGGGGTTAAAGGATGCGATTTGCCTGAAACCCTCACACCTGAATACTGACAGAATATGGACTCGGACCACCAGTCTAGTGCTTTTTTTTTAAAGATGGAATCTCGCTGTGTCGCCCAGGCTGGAGTGCAGTGGCCTGATCTCGGCTCACTGCAAGCTCTGCCTCCCGGGTTCACGCCATTCTCCTGTCTCAGCCTCCCGAATAGCTGGGACTACAGGCGCCCACCACCACGCCCGGCTAATTTGTTGAATTTTTAGTAGAGACGGGGTTTCACCATGTTAGCCAGGATGGTCTCGATCTCCTGACCTTATGATCCGCCCACCTTGGCCTCCCAAAGTGCTGGGATTACAGGCGTGAGCCACCACACCCGGCCAGCCTAGTGCTTTTTTACAGATGTTGCCTTGCCAGCCAGCGGGACTGACCTCCAAAATTTAAAAAGAAAAAAAAAGTGCAGGGCAAGCCTAAGATCAGCTACTAGGCTGACATTAAATAAGCATTTTCCACTTGTCATTATCTTAGGGGAATTGGGAAGCTGCCTCTAGCACTTAAAATACAAGCCACTTCCCTCTGTCTAGGAAGTACTAAAGAAATACAAAAGTTGACAGAAAAGGAATGAAGTCCAGTTGGTCTCGCAAATCCCCTGAGATAGTCCAGCAGGGGAAGGGACTTACTCAGGGGTACACAGTGAGTTAGAAGCAGAGCTGGGACTGGAATCAAGGTGTTTTGTCGCTGCTAGTTGAAGGCAGTTTTCGTTGCGCTGCCCTGCTGCGTGCTGTGGGAGCTGTCGTTGGATGTTTGCACAAGTGTGGGCATAAAACCTTCGATGTCTGGAGTGCTTTTTATTTTTCAGTGTGCTCTGCTGTTTACTGAGCTCCCGTGTTCTGGTATTCATTGACCATCTTTATTTACCACTACCTACCTTGTGTCAGGGGCTGTGGAATCCAAGATGTCTGCAACATGCTCCCCACCGCCCACACAGTCTAGTTGGGAAGCAGTTATGTCCACGTATTCGTTCATTCAGTATTTTATTTCTCATTGAGATGTAATTCACGTGATGTAAAGTCCTTTTAACGTATACAATTCAGTGGGGTTTTTTGTTGTTTAGAGACAGGGTCTGCCTCTGTCACCCAGGCTGGCGTGCAGTGGCATGATCTTGGCTCACTGCAACCTCCGCCTCCCAAGCTCAAGCAATCCTTCCACTTCAGCCTCCCAAGTAGCGGGGACCATAGGTGTGCACCATCACGTGCAGCTAATTTTTGTATTTTTTGTAGAGATGGGTTTTCGCCATGTTGGCCAGGCCGGTCTTGAACTCCTGAGCTCAAGTGATTCAGCCGCTGAAAGTGTTGGGATTACAGGTGTGAGCCACTGCCCCCAACCTTTTTATTTATTTATTTTTATTTTTCGAGATAAACTGGTTCTTTAGCCCAGGCTGGAGTGCGGTGGCGCAATCTTGGCTTACTGCAACCTCTGCCTCCCGGGTTCAATATTCTTGTGCCCCAGCCTCCCGAGGAGCTAGGATTACAGGCGTGTGCCACCATGTCTGGCTAATTTTTTTTATTTTTAATAGAGATGGGGTTTTGCCATGTTGGCCAGGCTGGACAGGAAATCCTGGCCTCATGTGATCCACCTGCCTAGGTCTCACACAGTGCTGGGATTATAGGTATGAGCCAAAATTCAGTGTTTTTTTTGTTTTTTTGAGATGGAGTCTCACTCTGTCGCCCAGGCTAGAGTGCAGTGGCGCAATCTTGGCTCACTGCAAGCTCCGCCTCCTGAGTTCATGCCATTTTCCTGCCTCAGCCTCCCGAGTAGCTGGGACTACAGGCGTCCACCACCACACCTGGCTAAGTTTTTGTATTTTTAGTAGAGACGGGGTTTCACTGTGTTAGCCAGGATGGTCTCGATCTCCTGACCTCGTGATCTGCCTACCTCAGCCTCCCAAAGTGCTGGGATTACAGGCCTGAGCCACCGCGCCTGGCCCGGTGGGTTTTTTTTTTTAGTATAGCCAGAAATTTGTAAAAATGTCACCACTAACTCTAGAACATTCTTCTCACCCCAGAAAGAAACTTCTTATCTATTAGCAGTCACTCCTTATTCCTTCCTTTGCCAACCACTATCTACTTTCTTTTCCTGTCGATTGGCCTATTGTGGGCATTTCATGGAGTCATACGTGTGGCCTTTTGTGTCTGGCTTCTTTCACCTAGCATCATGTTTTAAGGGTTCATCCATGGTGTACCAGCATGTAGCAGTGCATTATTCCTTTATGGCTGAAAATATTCTATAGATACTATAATTCTAATAATATGGATATACCACATTTTATCTATCAGTTGATGGATTTTTGGTTTCTTTCTACTTTTTTTGCCTGTTATAAATAATGCCACTATGTACATTCATGTACAAATGTTTGTGTGAGCTGGGCACAGTGGTCCATGCCCGTAGTCTCAGCTACTTGGGAGTTGGAGACAGAAGAATCCCTTGAACCGAGGAGGCAGAGGTTGCAGTGAGCCAAGATCGCACCACTGCACTCCAGCCTGGGCGATACAGCGAGACTCTATCTCAAAAAAGAAAAAAACTATGTATTTAATTCGTTTGATATTTACTGGGAATTTACTAAAGATCAGGCACTGTACCAGACACTGGGGAATCCATAGTAAATGAGTTTGGTGTGTTGTCTTACCTGATAAAACTTACTAGTAGAAAAGACAGACATTAAATAGATATTAAATAGATATTACACAATTAATGTATTATTTTTGTGAAAAGTGTTAAAAGGAAAAGTACTGGTGTTACCAGAGGCTGTAACCGATTTGAAGAGGAGGAGAGGAAGGGAGCAAAGTGAACAATAAAGAACGTGGCAGTGGCCAGGTGTGGTGGCTCACGCCTGTAATCCCAGCACTTTGGGAGGCCAAGGTGGGCCGATCACCTGAGTTTGGGAGTTCGAAACCAGCCTGACTAACATGGAGAAACCCCATCTCTACTAAAAATACAAAATTAGCCGGGCATGGTGGCGCATGCCTGTAATCCCAGCTACTCAGGAGACTGAGGCAGGAGAATTGCTTGAACCTGGGAGGCAGAGGTTGCGGTGAGCCGAGATTGTGCCATTGCACTCCAGCCTGGGCAACAAGAGCGAAACTCTGTCTCAAAAACAAACAAACAGAAATTTGGCAAGGCAGCGTTGGTGGCAGCTGGTGCAGGACAATGAATGACGTGTTAAGGAATTTGGACATTCTCATAGAACAGAGGGAAGCCTCTGAGGATTCTTTGGCAGGAGAATGATGTGATCAGTTTGTGTTTAAAGTATCAGTTGAGTGTGGTATGAAGAGCAGATTGGTGGGGCAAGAATGAATGCAGGGAGGGCTTCCTTGAGGTTTGCTGTAGGAGTTCAGGTGAGAAAGGATGGCAGCCTGGGCTTGCTTAGATGTGGGTGGAGACAGGCAGACTGACACAAGAACACTGCTTAGGCAGAAAATAACAGGACTTGGAGACTGGATGTGAGGGATGAAGGAAGTGTTAGGAACTGCAGGCTGGGCATGGTGGCTCACGCCTCTAATGCCAGCACTTTGGGAGGGCAGGGCGGGAACGTTACCTCAGGTCAGGAGTTCGAGACCAGCCTGGCCAACGTGGCAAAACCCCGTCTCTGCTAAAAATACAAAAATTAGCTGGACGTGGTGGCGGGCACCTGTAGTCCCAGCTACTCAGGAGGCTGAGGCAGGAGAATGGCTTGAACCCGGGAGGTAGAGGTTGCATTGAGCTGAGATTGCGCCATTGCACTCCAGCCTGGGCAACAGAGCGAGACTCAGTCTCAAAAAAAAAAAAAAAAAAAAATGGGGAACTGCATTCCCCAGGCTGGATGCGGTGGCTCACACCTGTAATCCCGGCACTTTCGGAGGCCAAGGTGGGTGGATCACCGGAGGTCAGGAGTTCCACACCAGCCTGGCCCATCTCTACTAAAAATACAAAAATTAGCCAGGCATGTTGGTGCGCATCTGTAGTCCCAGCTACTCGGGAGGCTGAGGCAGGCAAATCGCTTGAACCCGTGAGGCAGAGGATGCAGTGAGACAAGATTGTGCCTTTGCATTCCAGCCTGGGCGACGAGCAAAATTCCGTCTCATGCACAAAAAAAAAGAACTGCATTCCTGGATTGAGCAACTGGTTGGCATTTACTGAGACAGGCAATACTGGAGTAGATACAGGTTTCCTGGCTGTGAGGGTGCTGATAATCACTATTTCAATGTGGACTTTTTTTTTTTTTTTAAGAGAGATGGGGTCTCACCCTGTCACGCAGGCTGGAGTGCAGTGGCATGGTCATAGCTCAAACCCCTGGGCTCAAGCAGTCCTCCTTATTCAGCTTCTTGAGGAGCTGGGATTATGAGCATTAGCCACCACGCCCAGCCAGTGTGAACATTTTGATCTTGTGATATCTGTAAGACGTCTAAGTGTTGTTGGATATACAGGTGTGAGCCTTGGGAGACATCTGAGCTAAAGATACAGATGTGGCTATCTTTGCCTGTAGGTGGGCTTTGAAACCACAGGTGTGGATGAGATTGTCAAGTGTGAGGGTGTGGACAGTAATTGACCCCTAAGGCTGGTAGACAGTGAGGAGCTGGAGAAGTAGGAGGAAAATCAGGCCAAGGGAAGTGGTCAGCTGTGTTAAAGTTTGCCGAAGGTAAAAGAAAGAATATGACCAATGCCAAAGAGATGTGTGTCCAAGGTCTAGGAGCATCTTTCACAGAGGAGGTGGTGGGGACCCCATTTCCCTGGGGATAAGGAGTAGGGCTTGTCAAGAGACGTTTCTCAGAAAGCAGTTTCTGGCCAGGCGTGGTGGCTCACACCTATAATCCCAGCACTTTGGGAGGCCAAGGTGGGCGGATCACCTGAGGTCAGGACAAGCCTGGCCACCATGGTGAAACCCCATCTCTACTAAAAAAATACAAAAATTAGCCAGGCGTGGTGGCGGGCGCCTGTAATCCCCGCTACTCTGGAGGCTGAAGCAGGAGAATGGCTTGAAAGCGGAAGGCAGAGGTTGCAGTGAGCTGAAATCATGCCACTGCACTCCAGCCTGGGCAACAGAGTGCGACTCCGTCTCAAAAAAAAAAGAAAAAGAAAGAAAACAGATTCTTGAGTGGGGATGGTGTCAGTGGTTTACACCTGGGTCTGATGGAAACATCTCTGTTCCAGGCCGAGACGCATCCAGAGCTTTCGTGACCGGGGACTGTTCTGAAGCAGGCCTCGTGGATGACGTATCCGACCTGTCAGCCGCTGAGATGCTGACACTTCACAATTGGCTTTCATTCTATGAGAAGAATTATGTGTGTGTTGGTAAGTCGTCCATAGGTCATACATTTCATTTGGTTGTCTGCAGTGTTTTTAGGGGGCTGAGATTTTTTAGGGATTGGGTTCAAGCTTAAAATCTGAAAAACAGCCATGGATTTGTTTTACTTTAAATTCTGGTCGTTAGAATAGGGATGAGCCGCCCAGAAGGAGATGGATGGGCACCTGCTTCCCCCACTCTTAGTCTTGGGAGAGGATTACTAAGCTGCTTGCTTTGGCCTCAGTTTCGCCATAGCCAGTGGTTGCTTGCACCATCCTTGAACAACCAGCTCCAGAAGGGCAGCTTCCCTGTCTCACTGTGTTCGATGCATCTGGCTTCAGCACACAGCCAGAAGGGCTTGAAGCCTGAATTTGTGTTTCGACAAATCCCCTTTTATTTGGTCCTCTAGGAGGAGACAAACTTCGTGAGTGAGCTGTCTCCCAGGTGGTAGTTATGCTAATCAAACCACTGTGTAGGTTACTGCACTTGCTACTTACTGATGCTACATAAGGGACTTGCTTCTCAAATGAGACAACACCAAACTGTGTCCTAAAGCAGTGTTAAAGACTCTAAACACTAGGCCCGGCGCAGTGGCTCACGACTGTAATACCAGCACTTTGGGAGGCTGAGGCGGTTGGATCACTTGAGGTCAGGAGTTCAAGACCAGCCTGGCCAACATGGTGAAACCCTGTCTCTACTAAAAAATACAAAAATTACCTGGGCGTGGTGGCACGCACCTGTACTCCCAGCTACTCAGGAGGCTGAGGCAGGAGAATCGCTTCAGCCCGGGAGATGGAGGTTGCAGTGACCTGAGATTGCGCTACTGCACTCCAGCCTCAACGAAAGACACTAAACACTAGATTGCTTCACAAGTACTGACAACTGGGATGGCCGTAGCCCTTTCTTCTATCTATCTGCAGCCCCCACGTCTCACTGGAGTCCTACTTGGACATGACTGACTTCCTGAGGAACACCAGTATCACTTCACCATCGAAACAGGTCTAACTTGGAAGAATTCTTTCCTTAATGCCTCTGAATTTCTGCTTCTGTCATCACTGCTTGAGTTACCTTTTCTGAGAACCTTGGCATTTTTATTAACACCTCAGCTCCCTCCACATCCAATCAATCATGGCTTTTTCATAATATCTAAAGTTTGTGTCCATCCATTGTGGGCCTCTGCAGCACGCCTTTCTTCATTTTCTCTCGTATGCCCAAGATCAGTCTTGAGACCATAACCCTGTCTACCATCGAAGGCACTGACCTCTACTCACCTGCGCTTCAGAGGGCTGGGTTCTTCCCTTTCCCAATGAAGTTGCCAAACCAAGGTTGAAACATTACTGGGTTAATAAAGAAAAGAAAACCCAATAGAAAAGAATAAGAGCCAGGAGTGGTCTCTCACACCTGTAATCCTAACACTTTGGGAGGCCGAGGTGGGCGGATCACCACCTGAGGTCAGGAGTTCAAGACCAGCCTGGCCAACATGGTGAAACCCTGTCTCTATTAAAATACAAAAATTAGCCGGGCATGATGGCAGGTGCCTGTAATCCCAGCTACTCAGGAGGCTGAGACGGGAGAATTGCTTAAACCTGGAAGACGGAGGTTGCAGTGAGCCAAGATCGCACCACTACACTCCAGCCTGGGTGGCTGAGTGAGACTCTGTCTCAAAAAAAAAGAAAAAAAAGAAAAAGAATAAGAATGGAGTCCAGACCGGTGGCTCATGCCTGTAATCCCAGCACTTTGGGAGGCTGAGGTGGTCGGATCAGTTGAGGTCAGGAGTTCAAGACCAGCCTGACCAACATGGCAAAACCATGTCTCTACTATAAATACAAAAAATTAGCTGGGTGTGGTGGGACACACCTGTAATCCCAGCTACTCAGGAGGCTGAAGCATGAGAATCACTTGAACCTGGAAGGCAGAGGTTGCGATAAGCCGAGATCACATCACTGCATTCCAGCCTGGGCAACGGAGTGAGACCCTGTCTCAAAAAAAAAAAAAAAAGAACAGAGTCCTGTAAATGGGCAAAGAATGCCAGGCCAAATACTTCATACTAAGATTTGGGAGCACACTGGAAGTGTTCGGATGCGTTTGGTGTGACAAGTGAGCTGGTCTTGTTTGAATGATGTATAATGTGTTGAGGATGGGGTGGGGCATGTGGCGGGAAATGCCTCAGAAGGATTTTAGTTGATGTCAGGATCTTATTGAATACCTACTACTCATAAGTTACGGGTTCCATCCTCAGGGGGACCAGGGATGAATTGAGTCCAGTTCCTGCCCCTGTTAGCTCATTCTGTAGGATAGGGGCCATGTTAGGCTCTTTCAGGTTACCAGAAACCCTCAGGATACATCAGTGGATGAAGGTTTATTGTAAGGGTACATACTGAAGTGAGGACAGCCAGGAAGCCATCTTGGCAGCCAACATGGCCAGGCCTCAAGGGAAAACAAGATGGCCTTGGTTATGCTGTGGATACAGGATTGGCTTGGAGATGCAGCCACTGGTGATCACCATTCTCATGACACAGATTCTAGAACTCTTCCTCTGTTGCCTCTGCTACTACTGTCCTCTCTTTGGGTCTCATGTCAGAAACTCACCAAAGACAGGCTTGTCACCATATAACACAGACACCCCAACCCCCGTAGTGGGAAATTCTGTGCCAGGCCAACTCATAGACTGCAGGCCTGTGACTCGGGCCCTGATTCCTTTCTTTATTCATCTAATAAGTATTTAAAATGAATGCTCTATGCTAAGCTGTTTTATTTATTTATATATTTTTTCAGATGGAGTCTTGCTTTGTCACCCAGGCTGGAGTGCAGTGGCACGACTGCAGCTCACTGCAACCTCCAACTTCTAGGTTCAAGCAGTTCTCCTGCCTCAGCCTCCTGGGTAGCTGGGATTACAGGCATGCACCACCACGCCCAGCAAATTTTTGTATTTTTAGTAGAGACAGGGTTTCACCATGTTGGCCTGGCTGGTCTCGAACCCCTGACCTCAAGTGATCTGCCCGCCTCAGCCTCCCAAAGTGCTGGGATTACAGGTGTGAGCCGCTGCGCCTGGCGCTAAGCTGTTCTGAGTACTGCGCCTCACTAGTAGAGAGAGCCATCATAGACAAGTAAACAGATTGAACAACTCCACATAGGACCATGCATCAAACTGTGATGTAATACGTTTGGGAGCTTTGGCTCCTTTAGAGCACATGCTCAGGAGTGGCTTCTTGGAGAAAATGACCGTTAAGCTGAGACCGGCAGGTGAGTGGGAGGCAGCCACACCGAGACCTGAGGAGAGTGTGCTGGGTCAGGGAAGAGCGGTGCGAAGGTGGGGAGTGGGGAAGCACAGCCAAGACACAGAAAGGAAGCCAGTGTGCTGGAGCCCCCCGTGAACGAGGGGGGACGTAGCTTGTAAGAGGCTGAAGAAGCAAATCAGTTAAATGGTTACAGGGCCTTAGAGGCCTTGATAAGAAATTTGCATTTTTGTCTGCTTTAAGAAGCCATTGAAGGGTTTTAATCAGGCATCGGAGAGCCATGGTAGGATTCATGTTTTTAAAAGATCCCCTAGTTGTTTTATGGACAGAGAACTCTAGGAGGGCATGAGCTGACCAGAGAGCAGTTAGGAGGCCACTGCCACAGTCCGTGGTTTGGAGGAGGGTGATGGCAGTGGGAATGGAAAGGAGTGAACAGAATCAGGATCTGTTCAGAGGTAGGACTGACGAGGTTTTCTGATGGATCCGATCAGACAGCAAGGAAGGGAGTATGATGTGGATGTAGAGGAGGAGGAGTCAGGCTCCTAATGCAGGTCACAGGCTAGAGGCAACACGGATTTGGGAAAGTCAGGGAGGGCGTTGGACTTGGGAGACGAGCTGAATCTCAGATGCGCTGAACATACGCGCCACTAGAATCGAAGGTAAAGCTAGTTCTTAGGGGTTGCTCCCTCTTCGGTCGCACCTCCCTCAAGTGCTTCCTTTCTGCTTCTCTTGCCTTGTGGCAGGTGCTGCCTCTGAAGGGCATTTGCACCTCAGGACTGGGCTACATTAGGACCCTGGGCTGAGAGAACTGACCTGTTTTTCCTTCTGGCCTATAGGCTGGTGGACCACTTGCTGGCTGCTGCCATAGCTTAGACTTTTACAAATTCTGACAGGCATTTTAAAGCCGGGCACAGTGTGACTTACACCTGTACCCCCATCTACTCAACAAGCTGAGGTGGGAGGATTGCTTGAGCCCAGAAGTTCAAGACTAGCCTGGTCAACAGAGTGAGACCCCATCTCTATTATAATAAACATTTAAAAAATGTTAGCCAATAAGCCATTCATTCATCAAACATTAATTGAATACCCAGCGTGTGCTCCAAGCACATGGAAGCATGGAGAAATGAATCACACATGGCTGTGCCCTCAGGGAAGCCTTGTCTGGAAGTGAGAGAGGTTTGATGGTTTCTGTGCTGAAGGGCTCTGCAGCTAGAAGAGGGATGCAGCTGTGTGGGGGCTTGTAGGGTGCTAAGAGGTTGGTGTGCAAGGCACCAGGAGTGCCTGCAGTAGAAGTTCTTATTAAACGCGCACCAGCAGGACTGAAGTCAGAAACCCTGGGAACTTGTGCCTTCCCACACCTGCCTCAGCAGCTGAGTATTCACTCTCACTCACATCTGCCTTCCTGTCATCACAGGGAGGGTGACAGGACGGTTCTACGGAGAGGATGGGCTGCCCACCCCGGCACTGACCCAGGTAGAAGCTGCGATCACCAGAGGCTTGGAGGCCAACAAACTACAGCTGCAAGAGAAGCAGACATTCCCGCCGTGCAACGCGGAGTGGAGCTCAGCCAGGGGCAGCCGGCTCTGGTGCTCCCAGAAGAGGTAAGCAGGCTCCCCTTCTTCTCCTTTCTGCCTGTCCCAAATCCAACTCCTAGGCCATCCTGCCTGCAGTATTCAGTGAATTCAGGAATTGATTGTTAACCCTGGGGAGCTTTTTCAAAATACTGATAATAATTCTCAACTTTGGCTGCATATTAGATCTTCTGGGGAATTGCCGAAATTACGGATGGTCAGACCTCACTCCACTCAACTGAATGGGTTGAGACTTGGACTTGAGGCCTGGGCATCTTTTTATTTTTTCCGAATTCTCCAAAGATCCTGCTGACACAACCTTGACCCGGGAATGAGAAGGCACAAGCAGGATTTCTTGCTTTCTTTGGCCTGCTCAGCCACCCACGGGCTTTGGTTTCCTGTTTGACAGCACAAATCATGCCTATCTATAGGAGAGGGACGAGGAGGTGGGGAGGGTACCTGCAGTGATGGCTTCAACTGCTGTCTTAAAAACAGGTGAGGCGGGCATGGTGGCTTGTGGGCCACACCTGTGGTCCTGGCTACTTGGGAGACTGAGGCAGGCAGGTCGCTTGAGCTCAGGAGTTGGAGTCCAGCCTGGGCAACATAACAAAAAAACAGTAACAAACAAAAAAAACCACTGCAAATTCGGAGTTCTCAGCCTTAAATGAGCGGAGCAAGGGCAAAGGTAGCAGGAAGGAAAGCTCCTTCTTTCCTGGCCGCTAGCTTTGAAGAGACAGCTTCTCCAGTGTCATCTCAAGAAAGAGGGGACTGTGAGAACCTGGCCTGCTCACTTTATGGAGAGAAGCTAAGATAGGCGTGGGCCTTCCTGTGACACAGGCCTGAATGCAGGTAGCCTCAGAGAGCACTGGTCTCTGAGACTCCAGGAGGAGGAGACTCCAGGAGGCCTGCGTGCGTTCAGATGCTTGACTTTGCTTCCTTGGGCCCTGCCTCCTTTTCCCTCCCCACAGCCTTCCCCTGTGTCTCCTGAACCTCTTCTTGCTTTCATGACTGAGTAGTTCAGGCTCTGCCTTCCCCACAAAACCCTTCCAGGGCCACCCTAGTGAACTGCGGGGCCCTATCCCTGTGCCTCAGCTCAGTTTGTTGTCTTCTGTTCACCTGTGTGTGTCCCATTAGACTGAGAGGAACAAGTGCCGAAGGCAGGGACAAGGTGTGGAGTACAGATCCCCAATGATGGGATGGAGGCTGGGTAGAAGAGGGAGGCGTTTGGGTGACAGCCTTGTTCTTGGTAAGCTAGAAGTAGGATGTTTTCTCGCTGGGGGCAGTTTCTCTGACAGCAGGCACCGGAAGCTGTCTGAGGCGTCAGTTCCAAGAACCTCAGTTTCTTTCTTGCAAGGCCTCTGAGTCCATCAGAGACTGAGCCCAGTGCCCTGAGGTGGGCAAGGCCCCTGCCCAAGATAGGAGGGTGCTCAGGTTGTTGGGCCACAGCTGAATCCTCCGTGTCTGAAGCCTAGTGCCATCAAGGACTGGACCTGTGGGGCACAGGACAGCTTGCAGCTACACTCTATGCCAAGGGCTTCCCAGAGAAGGCCGACCCAGGTGGCCAAGGGCCAGGGCCCAATTGCCCACCCCCAGCCAAGTGCCCCAGAGAAGAAGGTGAAGACCCTGACCTGCGCTGGGTTGTAGTGGGGAAGGAAGAGGACAGTCGCACCCAGACACTGCTTCTGAGAAGCTCACAGGCCAGCAGGGGAAGCCCTTTCACAGCTGTTGCCACCAGTGCAGGAACGTGGTGCTGCCTCCTAAGAAGGGGCAGGGCAGGGGCTGGGGAGCACAGTGAAAGGAACCATGGACTGTGCCCTTGGCCTGGGGAAGGTGGTGGTGGCCCTGCAGGGGAAGCTGGAGGATGTTAGGAGAGAGCATGAAGGCTCAGGGGCTGAGCGCTGTAGCCTGCTGCCTTGGGAAACACTCTGGTAGGCTTCTACTTTTCAGAAGGCCTGGCTCTCTGCTTCCTGCTCTCCCCTTCCCAGAGACTCATGAGTTCTCACATTTAAGAAGTCCTCTTTCCGTCTATCCTTAGTGGAGGTGTGAGCAGAGACTGGATTGGCGTCCCCAGGAAGCTGTATAAGCCAGGTGCTAAGGAGCCCCGCTGCGTGTGTGTGAGAACCACCGGCCCCCCTAGTGGCCAGATGCCGGACAACCCTCCACACAGAAATCGTGGGGACCTGGACCACCCAAACTTGGCAGAGTACACAGGCTGCCCACCGCTAGCCATCACATGCTCCTTTCCACTCTAAGCCGTAGCCTCTTCTGTTAATAACACACAGAGAGCTCTGCCAAGCACCTGAGTAGGCCCTTGACACTTGTGTGCCCTGGGATGCCTCCTGGCGCGAATCAGGAGGGTCTGGAAGGACTCTGGCTATATTCTGCAAATGTGGCTCATGCCCCTTACCGTGGCTCGGCGTTGTGGTGCCTGAGGGACAGCCGGCCACCTGCCCAGTACTGGTCAGCTTTTCAACACTATTCCCTTTGACCTACTGGCCATCTTCCTCACAGCCCTCAGATATCAACGGGCACAAATAAGACCAACTCAATTTCCACTTGAATTTACAACCAAAAGCCTGCTGAGTTGATTACAGCTGGGCCAATACAGTACGAGGCAATAACAAATTAGTGTGGGTTGATTCTGGAATTGGAAAAGCTTTTGCTTGTATGGATACAGCAAATCCAGATGTCTCTGAACAAAGCAACAATTTAAAGCAACGACATTTTCTGTCCTTTAAGCACTTAAAATCAGGTGTGGTGTGTTTTCAAAGGCAGAAGTCTGCATTTTGAGCAAAAGGTGGCTTCCCAGCTCTAACAAGGTAACTGGTTAGCATGACATTAAAGCTTGGGCAAGGCTTCAAACTTAAGGTGGCTGGGCTTGCTGCTTGTCCAGTGGTTTGTATGTCCAGCGTCATCTGGCAATGTCATACCTGTTACCTCTTGACTACTTGTGAAGGTAGATGGGGGCAAGGAGTGTTCCTACTTCAGACAGAGAAGTGGGACCAGCACTACCACAGACAGCGCCACGGCCTCTGTGCATCGCCTCATCAGAGCTTCCACCCAGCTCCCTTTGCCGCTCAGTCTCACCCTCAACATCCACCAGCTTCCTCCCTCTCTGTCACTGTCTCCTTTTTCTCCATCATTCATTTCACTAAATCGCTTTCCAGATTCACAGACTAGAAAATGGAGGCTGCCTCCCCTTCACTGGCAGACCCGTACTCACTGCCCCTGTCCCCTTCACTGGCAGACCCGTGCTCACTGCCCCTGTCCCCTCACTGGCAGACCCGTGCTCACTGCCCCTGTCCCCTCACTGGCAGACCCGGGCTTATTGCCCCTATGGCCACAGCTGTTCCTTACACTTGGGCTCTGGCTCATGGCTCCTTTTGCCTGCCCCCGCCATCCTCCTCACCTGCCCCTCTTGTACCTTTAACCTCTCCCCGTCTCCTGGATCTTCCCCCAGGTATGCATCAAACAGCTCACTTCTCTCACATCATAAACATTCCCTCAACTCCAGTTTTGGCTTATACTCACTAGCTTTGCTTTTCAGCTCCATTTGCTCTAAAAATCAGGAGAAATTCTGCATTGGCACATTCCGTGGTCACATCCAGTTCTTACCTAGGCTTTGTCACTCTGGATACTGTGGACCGTGGGGTCCTCCATGAAACCCTCGCTGGGCTTTATCCTGCTTCCCTTTTTGCCTCTGCCCATTCCTTCTTAATTGCCTTGAGAACCCCGTTTTGCCTCCACAAACCCCTTCCCATTGGCTCCTCTCACTCCAAATCCGACAGTTACTTAGACCGTCAAACCTGCACGTCTACTCCAGGCAGCTTTGCAGAGCATTTCACCTTCCCCTCCCATGCTGCTTCTAGTTCTCCAAGGGAATGGCACCACCAGCTACACGCAGAGTCAGCATCCGAGCAGCCGTCCACACTCCATCCTCCCTTCCCTCCTCCTAACCCGCCTGCAGGTCCTGGGACCTCTGCCTCCCTCATTCTCTCCCTTTCCTTCCCTCTTATCTGTCCCTAGTACTCTTCCTCTGGCCTAGGCTGTCATTTCTCACTTGGATTACTGAAGGATCCTAACTGTACTCCCTCCCTCCAATCCCTCCTCCACACTGCTGGGAGCCGTCTTTCTTTCTTTCTTTCTTTCTTTTTTTTTTTTTGAGATGGAGTCTTGCTCTTTTGCCCAGGCTGGAGTACAGTGGCGCGATCTCGGCTCACTGCAACCTCGGTGGCACAATCTTGGCTCACTGCAACCTCCACTCCCTGGGTTCAAGCGATTCTCCTGCCTCAGCCTCCCAAGTAGCTGGGGATTACAGGCACGTGCCACTACACCCAGCTAATTTTTGTACTCTTAGTAGAGATGGGGTTTCACTATGTTGGTCAGGCTGGTCTCGAAATCCTGACCTTGTGATCCACCCACCTCGTCCTCCCAAAGTGCCAGGATTGCATGCGTGAGCCACCGCACCTGGCCAAGCTCTTTCTTAAAGATGATCAAGGCATCCCCCATTTAAGCCTCCTCAGGGGCTCCCCTGATCTATAAGGACTGAGTGCCAGCTCCTCTGCTGCGTGCCACACGAGGCCCTTCTGTGGCCTCTCTCCTCTTAGGCCTGTACCTTTCCCATCTCCTCCCATGTGCACCTCCTGTCCAGCCTCCCTCTCACTGCGTTATGTCTGCAGTGCCTTCACACAAGCTGTTTCTTTTGCCTGGAATGACGCTTCTTCCTCCGTTGAATTAATCCACCCCGTATTGCTTCAATATTCAGCTCAATCAGGCCCCTCTTGGGAGCCTTCATTAACTGTTGGGCCAGCAGTGAGCTATAGACGCACTTTCCCTGCTCCATGGCTGTGCTCATATCACAGTGGGCTCTTACCATGAACTTCCTATCAACCTCTTGCACTGGACCTCAGACACTCTGAGGACAGAGCCCCAGTGTGATTCAGCTCCATACCCCTATATCCACATGACTCAGCTCCGTACCCCTATATCCACGACTCAGCTCCATATCCCTATATCCACAACTCAGCTCCGTACCCCTATATTCACATGACTCAGCTCCGTACCCCTATATCCACATGACTCAGCTATGTACCCCTATATCCACATGACTGAGCTCTGTACCCCTATAATCCACGACTGTCCGTACCCCTATATCCACATGACTCAGCGCCGTACCCCTATATCCACATGACTCAGCGCCGTACCCCTATATCCACATGACTCAGCTCTGTACCCCTATAATCCACATGACTCAGCGCCGTACCCCTATATCCACGACTCAGCTCCGTACCCCTATATCCACATGACTCAGCTCCGTACCCCTATAATCCACATGACTCAGCTCCGTACCCCTATATCCACGACCCAGCTCCGTACCCCTATAATCCACATGACTCAGCTCCGTACCCCTGTATCCACATGACTCAGCGCCGTACCCCTGTATCCACGACTCGGCTCCATACCCCGATATCCACGACTCGGCTCTGTGCCCCTATATCCACAACTCAGCGCTGTACCCCTACATTCACGCAACTCAGCTCCGTACCCCTATAATCCACTTTACTCAGTGCCGTACCCCTATAATCCACATTACTCAGCGCTGTACCCCTATATCTACATGACTCAGAGCCTTACCCCATATCCATGTGACTCAGCTCCTCACCCCTATATCCACGTGACTCAGCACCATGCCCCTATAATCCACTTTACTCAGCGCTGTACCCCTATATCCACCGCACCTAGCGTGTGGGAAGTTCGTGCAGAGTTGTTTCTTTTTTTGAGACAGGGTCTTACTCTGTTGCCCAGGCTGGAGTGCAGTGGCGTGATCATAGCTCACTGCAGCCTTGACCTCCCGGGCTCAAAAAGATTCTGCCACTTCAGCCTCCCGAGTAGCTGGGATGATGGGCACGTACCAGCATGCCCGGCTAGTTTTTTATTTTTGTAGAGATGGGGTTTTACCTTGTTGCCCAGCCTGGTCTCCAACTCCTGGGCTCAAGCAATCTGCCCACCTCGGCCTCCCAAAGTGCTGGGATTACAGGCGTGAGCCACCGCACTTTTTGGAGATAAGGCAATAAAGGCACATAGAACTTAAGTCACTGAGCATGGACCTGAGCCTAGAACTCAAAGCTCTGGATGCCTGATTCGGTGCCATTTTCACTCCTCCATATTTCTGTATGTCTCTGCCCTCCCTGGGGCAGGACCAGGAGCAGACAGAAAGAAGAGCTGAAATTAGGATTTTCTTCTGAGTTCTAGGCAGTCCCTGAGCTCAGTGCTGAGACTTCTCTATTAACCAGAAACAGCCCCCAACTCCATGCTAACTGGAAACTAGTTACTGCCCATGATTTAGTCCTCCTTAGTCATTCAGCAAATAACTTACCAAGAACCTACTATGTGCCAGGCATCACGTTAGGGTTGGGTGGTCGAGGAAGCAAGGCTTCCGACCTCAGGGGGCTTATAGTATGGTGGAATAAACCCAGTAGAGCAGCCAGAGGCTGTCCTTGCGGTAGGAATGCAGGGAGAGTGTGAGGGCCAGGTCCCAAGATGTTCTGATCCTTCAAAAAACAAACAAACAAAAAGGAGCATTAGTCATTCCAGCCAGCTGCGGGCTCTGGCCGTGCCTAGAGGGTACCTGATCTCTGACTGATGCAAGAGCCCTGCGTGCAGGCTCCAGGACAGACTTGGCTGGCTTCAGCAGCCTGCTCTGTTCCTTGCTCAGTTGAGAATTCATTTCCTTTTTGATACTTACCTTATGGTACTTACCTTCCTACTTAATCTGGTAACACATCTCTCATGTCAGGGCAAAGGATTCAGCAAAGAATTAGGTTCAGCAAGAGTAGGTTGTCATTTTAATGGCCTGAAGGGCTCAGCCATGAGAAGCTGGTAATTACTGGAGAAATGCCTGGCCTTTCCCTCTCCAGTACAGGTGGCCCTGGGCAAAACCATGGGGGAGGAAGGGCAAGGCCCTGATGGAAGCCACAGATAAGCTCAGCTTAGGCTGAGCATGCAGTTAGACTTGCTGGCAGAAGGAAGGGAAGGAGAAAACATACATATTGGGCAACTATGCTGGGCCAGGCCTTGTTCTCATTTAATCTCTATGCCTGCCTTGAGAAGTTCCCATTTTATGGCCCAGAAAAGGGGCATAAATATCTCCCCACCTCTTCTAATAGTTACATCAACCGTCGGGTGACAGAGCTGGGCTTTGTGATGCGAGTCTGATCTCTGCCACACCAGTGAGCACAGTGTCAAGGCAAAGCCTTTGCAGCTGCACTCCACTCCAACATTGTGAAGGAGGCCGGGCGCTTATAATCCCAGCACTTTGGGAGCCCAAGGTGGGCGGATCTCTTGAAGCCAGGAGTTCGATGGAGGCCAGCCCGGCCAACATGGTGAAACCCCATCTCTACTAAAATACAAAAATTAGCTGGGTGTGGTGGTACGCATCTGCAGTCCTAGCTACTGGGGAGGTGGAGGCTGCAGTGAGCCGAGATCACACCACTGCACTCCAGCCTGGGCGACAGAGAGAGACTCTCCCAAAACAAACAAACAAAACCCAAAAATAAAGAAGTCATCTTGAAAGAAGTTTCAACATTTGCCTTTTCATTCTGAGATTACAGTTTTCTATAAACATCTAAGAGTGAAGAGTCTGACGTTTTTTGGTCACAGCTGAGCCACTGCGTGACCCCCGCCCCGCCCCACACTCACTTTGCTCTAGGCAAAGCTGTACTCTGAAAGCTGGCCCCAATGGGGAGGTTAGGACTGTGCCTGCTCAGAAGTCTGTGGGTGCCTCAGAGAAGGGCAACAACCCTAGGCTGGACCCTAGCCTTGAGAGTACTTCCTACTGCCAGAGCCCCCAGATTTCTTCCGGTGGCAGCAGATACTGCCAGAAGAGCCTGCGGTGCACACACCAGAATCCGGGTACTTGGATGAGAAGGACACATTACTGATCACCTTCCTCCAGGCAACCCTGTCAGTTAAGGACTACAGTCCCGCCCCCATTATGTAGATAGGGAAACAGAGGCAAAGAAGTTAGGAAACTCGCCCAGAACTCTCAGCTCATGAATAAAAAAGCAGAACTAAAACCCAGTGCTCTCCCTGGCTGGGCAAACGTGTGGAAGTTGATGTGCCTGGTTACTGTTTGTGCTTCGCTTATCATAACCAGTGACAGCGTGGTTAGCACTGTTCGCCTCAAGGGCAGCTGTGAGGATTACTTGGGATTGTCCTGTGGAAACACTTCACATGCATATTAACTAGGAGAAAAGCCACTGGAGAATGAGCTTTATGAGCTCTATCAATCACCACAGCTAGTCTGACCTAGGGGTAAGCAAAATGGAAGACAGGAAAAAGGGAATACATTTGCTCAGGACAGCGTGAGGGCCACGTGAGCTGCTTGATTGGTAGTGATTTGTACAGGGGCTTTATGGATCACTAGGTTTTAATTTGCAAGGCCTGAAACTGTCCTTAGCATTCTCTGAAACCCACAGTGCCAGTCGCCCTTCACGCCTCGGCCAGCAGAAAGCTCCTCATGAGTGGATCCTCTTGAGAACTTCAGAGGGGTCAGGTGACGGTGACTGAGACTGCCTCAGTGATCACGCTCGGTGCTATGAGCTGAAATCTGGGCCAAGGGCACAGTAAGTTCAGGCAGCTAGTATGTTTAAAATAACTACTTTTCGGGAGCTAAGCCATGAGGACGTAAAGGCATTAAGAATGATACAGTGGACTTTGGGGGCTCAGGGGAAAGGGTTGGGGTGAGGGATAAAAGGGTCCAGTGTACACTGCTTGGGTGATGGGTGCCCCAAAATCCTGGAAATCACCGCTAAAGAACCTCACGTAACCAAACACCACCTGAACCCCAAAAACCTACTGAAACTTTTAAAAATTAAAAATACATACATAAAATAGCTACTTTTACTGCTGTCAACAGCATGTTCCTGAAAAATGTTGGAATTCAAACTTTCTGGAGGGCAGCTGGTCAAGAAACTTATTCACGTCAGGAGTTTTCTAAAATTTGTTTTTAATGCTTATTGGTACTTCTGCATTAGAAGTAACTACAAATGTCTTATTAAAGTTTCCACTTTAAATGCACAATTTTACTTCATTTTATTATAAGGAATTGTTACAGAAAATGCAAATATCAGTATTTGAAAAATACATTCCATTACACAGACTCCAAAGAAACAATGCTGATAAGCGCCGTGGTCCTCTATGATACCATCACCCCACACTGAGCACCACCCCGAAGGGGCTGGAAGCCAGGTGATCCACCCAAATGTGTGCCTGCAGTTTCTGCCCAGCTACTGCCCCTCCTCTGGGATCACACAGGGATGTCGTAACAGCCAACTCCACACATCTGCCAAAAAAGAGCAAGTCATCAAGGCGAGCAGTCTCGACTCAAGACTCCCTAGCTGCAGAAAACCAATGTTGTCAGTTGTAACAGGTTAATATATTATTTATGCCACACAAAAAAGGAATAGTACAGGCAATGATCTTCCAAAGAAAGTCTTTAAGGCATCTGTAACTTCTGGGAATTTCAGGGTTTTTATCTTGCCAGTCAGCTCTCACTAAAGTACTTCCACAGAGTGAGAAGGTGGCTCCCAAGTCCCTTTGGTGAGTTGGTGCCACCTGCTTCCTCTGCCACCAGGCTGGGGTGGGGAGCTTTGGTGCTTCAGGTAGTTCTTCTGGGACTTGTCCCAAGGGAAGCAAGTGTCTGTCATGGAAACATTACCCTTCCTTGTTCCTGCTACTGTCACCTGGGAAGTTAGCGTTAGCTTGCCTTTCAGGGTGAAGCATTACATAGTTCAAAAGTGTTCTTTTTCTCCAGATAAAAGAAACCTAGATGGAGGTCAAGCTCTCCCCTTTCCCAAGACGTTCCCTCCACTCCGTGCCCGTGGAGAAGATTAGTGCAGAAACGGTTCAATATGGCAGGTGTGGGACATGAGCGGGGAGGAGTGGAGAAACCACACACACACTGAGATCCACACAGGGACCCATTCAGGGACAAGAGTGAGGACACAGAACGGGGTGGTCAGAAATGACTCGGGGCTCTGAGGTAGAGGACTAAAGGTCACGTAGACCCCACTCCTTGGAGAGAACGTGGCAGGTGAACTGAGCAATCGAATCCAGCCTCAACTAAATTGGTAATTGGGGTTGACCGTGCACAGGCCCAAAACTCCAAATGGAACACATGTTCTAACACATCGTTCAGTGAGACACCACGAAAAAGATGACTGAAAGTTCAAAAGTCCTAAGTGTAGGCACTTAAGTTTATGGGAAATTTCGGTGTTAGAGGATCATAGCAAATTAGTTTAAGCCATTCGATTTATATATAGCACATGGTCCGTACCTTTGTTTTAAAAACAACGACAACAAAAGACTGTTAGGAATACACTGGATAATAAATCTGGCGATGAGCAAAGGGCAGTTGAGAGCACATTCAGCATAACAATGTTGACTGTTGCAGCAAATTATGTTTCAGTAAAGTTTACTTTTCCTGCTCTACTCATTCAGAAGTGGCAACTTTCTGAATGAATTTAAGTTTTTGCTACTAGTACTTAAGCTACTGATGAAAACTTACAACAGCTAGGCAGGTTTGTACGCAAGTGTTGACAGCAGGGAGAGCACGGGAAGGGCTGGAAGCATGCCTAGTCCCAGCCAGGGCAGGGCATGTTGGAGTCAGCTCCCACTCAAGCAGCCTGCTGAGTGCAGCCCAGCGAGCGTCCGCGTGGTCGGGGGGCTTCCTAAGTCTGTGGAAAGAGGCTTTTCCTATATCCACATGGATGCGCCCTGAAGCCAATGGAAAACAGGACTCAATGTTCTCCCAGTCCATAGCTGGTCAGTACCATTGCTATCCCTGGACTCAGGCTTAGAAGCAAGTTTGAATCAACATATTTGAAACATGATCTTAAGATTCTGAGTGCAATGACAGGCAAGATTGTTATTGAAATTGGTATGGTAGGGCATGGGCAGAACAATCGGCCTCACCCTTGACTCATCTCCCACATTCCTTTTAAAGAACAGGTATCCATGTACCAACCACTTCAATTCATATCCGAATCATGATTCTCTTACTTTCTAACTTAGGTAACCAAGCTACCTAAGCCCTGCCTGCTTCCTTATGGCCCTTTCCAGGTAATAGAAAATGGAAACTGACCACATGCCTCACATGGCCAAATGTTTGCCAAGACTAGCAGAGTTTTTCTTTTAAACATTCTGTATGAAATATGTCAGACTGGGGGACGGGGGATCTCTTCTAATTCATTGTTTTTCTTTTAAACATTGTGCACAAGCTTATATTCACATAGAAAGCATATACATCTTATAAATCACAGACTTTTTTTTAAGTAGTACTCCAGTTTATCAGCTCATTTTACACACATATTTAGGCAACAGAATGTATAAATCTACCGCAATACAGAGGACACACTATCCAGAAAAGAATGAACAAAGAACAGGCTGTTGCAAAAATATTTAGTCCCTTTACACATATAGTCAAACTTCATTAATGCAAAAAAATGTAGTGGTTATTAAATGTCTGAAAGAATCAGTATGTATGATTGAGATTGTTAATCTCTGAGTATAACACATATTGTTCATCTCAGAGTTGTTTTGTTTTAAAGCCGTGGTAGATGCTTCTCTTTAAATGTGCATTTTTTAGAAACTGGCCAAACCTTCAAAAGAAAAGTTTAACACCTCACGGTTAATATATGTACTAACAGCGATGAACGCCCAACAAGTTCTGGCAGCCTCATCCAGCACACAAGCCAGAGACTTCCAAAGTAAGGTGGCGCACACGTGGCCAGGGCCCTTGGCTGGTGGCCCTTCATGGGGCAGGGCAAGCTACACAGAACTGGGACCAACAGCACTCGCAGCATCACTAGGGAGGATTTCAGCAAGAAGCATTTGTGTCAAGGACATAGGACCTGCCGGCCTGAGGCTGGAGATGCCCTTGGGGCTGAAGCCTTGGTGACTCCCCCTCTCATCACTTGGCCTGTATGAATCTCTTGCTCTAAAAGATGCTCTGTAGAGTTTTTCCTTGGAGATTCGTGTGAGCTGAGGTCCAGTCAAAGCTGATCATTAGAATCACTGATGCAGGGATGTGTGAGGGTATTTTTGAATATGGATTTTTAAATTGGAATCACCGACAATGCAGCTCTATAAAAAGTGCAGCACAGTAAAAGTGCATTTCCTCCAGCACTCTCCAACAGCAGAGTGACTGAGGACTCCACAGACAGGACGCAGCAAGACGAGAGAATGAGACGGCTGCTACGAGGTGTCAAGCGGCCCAGCTGCACTCCTGACACCTCAGTAGCATGAACACTGTAAAGCTTTCAGTTGTTAAGGCCACGATTTTTCAGCTCTCATCTTTGAACCCTGTTAAGAAAGATTTCACCTTTTTAAAAGGGGTAGCTCACTAAAAATACAGCTTAGCGTAAAAAGAAAAAAAGACTTCAGGGCAAGAGGATCCTATTATCTTTATGAAAACACTGTGCAGAAAAGTCCACAGCCACTTACCCTAGAGTAAAGCCAGCTCATTAAGCAGCCAGCTTCCTACGCTGAGAGGCTCTGCCTCATCAGTCAGCCCAGGCGGGAAGACTTCATGAATGCTCTGGGATGGACACCAAGCTACTGGAAGGGGAAATGGTTTTCCAAGTGTCCCTGTATGTTGCTAGCAGAATGGGGAGAGGTCTAATTCCTAATCACATTTACCACTTAGGCCCAATGGCCTGGTCTGATGAGTGAGACATCTAGTGAAATCGATCACAGTCTGACACACACACTGACAATCATATGGAATCATTTGAAATGGGATCTATCACACCATGGTCCTTAATCGTTCCAGTCTATTGCCGCAGGAAGACACCCGCCAGCTCCTGCTCTGGGTGGGGTCAGGCTGGTGAGCAGAGCAGCTGCTGGGGAGGTGACCAAGGACGTGGCCTGGACCCTCCGGGGGGCTCACTAAGAAACCCCACCCAGAGTCAGTACATCAAAACAAATGTTGCAAACCCGCACAGGCTTGTTCAGATCAAACTTTATAATAGGAATCTCCTTGGTCGAGCATTTATGGCAAAGAAGACGTCCGCAGTGACGACTGTGGAAGCAAAGAAAGGAAGTATGAGAGGAGCGCCAACGACAGACTCTGCTTCCTGGCACGTGAGGACAACCGCAGCAGGGCCTGGCAGCCAAGGCGCCCGCAATGCTACTCTGGCAACTCTGCCAACTGCCAGCCCGGTTACCACAATTCATGTAGAATTTTTAGTCTATGAAAACAAAACTCTAGTCAATCATCAAGTTAAAGCAATACTGAAGAAGGCTTTTTTTTTTTTTTTTGGAAGATCAAGAGCAGCTCAGGCCAGGCATGGTGGCTCACGCCTGTAATCCCAGCACTTTGGAAGGCTGAGGCAGGCGCATCACTTGAGGGCACGGGTTTCAAGATCAGCCTGGCCAACATGGTGAAACCCCGTCTCTACTAAAAATACAAAAATTAGCTGGGCGTGGTGGCGTATGCCTGAATCCCAGCTGCTCAGGAGGCTGAGGAATAAGAATCGCTTGAACCCGCGAAGTGGAGATTGCAGTAAGCCGAGCTCGTGTCACTGTACTCAGCCTGGGTAATAGAGCAAGACTATGTCTCAAAAACAAACAAAAAGAGAGCAGCTCAGCACTATCTTTTTTTTTCCTTTTTTCTTTTTTGAGATGAAGTCTCGCTCTGTGGGCCACGCTGGAGTGCAGTGGCGTGATCTCAGCTCACTGCAACCTCTTGTCTCAGCCTCCCAAGTAGCTGGGATTACAGGTGCCCACCACGACCCCCAGCTAATTTTTGTATTTTTAGTAAAGACAGGGTTTTGACGACCCCCAGCTAATTTTTGTATTTTTAGTAGAGACGGGGTTTCGCCATGTTGGCCAGGCTGGTCTCGAACTCCTGACCTCAAGCGATCCGCCTGCCTCTGCCTCCCAAAGTGCTGGGATTACAGGCATGAGCCACCGCACCCGACCTATCTATCTCATTTTAATGGGAACAGCCCCTTAGTTCTCGGCAAAGCGGCCCATACTGAGGCACACCATGAGGGCAGTAGCTCATCTCAGCTTTGGTGCAGGCAGGAAGTCAGGAAGGATGGCACAGGCCTGGCAGGCTGCCTGGAAACTGTGCACCTTCAGCCTCCAGCAGGAAAGCCACCCGTCTGCAGGCTCCCTGCCTTCCCTACATCTCTGTTCCTCAGTAGGATCCTTGGGTGTGCTCATCTCATCCCTCCATTTGGTCAAGGTTTGCCCATCAATGTGCAGGACCCAGGCAAGTTCACGGCCTGTCCTGGAGAAGGGGGGAAGCAATGACATCAGCGGCAGTCCCCTCGCTCCTTGCCAGTGACGCTGGGGTCTTACCAGTGGTGTTTGCGAGTGGTGACTCCGAACCTGGCAGTGCACTCATAGCAGTAGGAGCCGTCACACCACGGAGGCTCCTTGGACAGCATATCTGCAACACAGGGGGGAGGCCCGGTCCCGTCAAACCGCGACGGCGCCACGCAAGCCCCAGGGCTTGGAGGCAGCAGGAACACAGACCCGTAAGTGAGGCAGCGCTGCCACATGACATAGGTGACGAAGGAGCGATAGGTTCTAAGTGGTTCAGGGCCAGCTTCCCAGAGGAGACTGGAGAATCAGCCCTTGCCCGGGAGACTTGGGGAGAAGGAAACGGTGGTCAACGAGGTGAACCAGTGTGATGTCTGTGGGGGAAACACGTAGTCAGGGATGGCTGGGATGGAAGGCACGGTAGGGAGAGAACAGAGACCACACAGCTAGACAAACTGGCCAGGGGAACAGAGGATGGGACTAAGACAAGAGAAATTGAGGAGGCAAAATCTGTAACTCAGTGACTGAACACAAGTGTGGGATGTGAGCGGGAGCAGGCAGAAGACACGGGTGATTTCCAGGCTTCCGGAGAGTGCCTGGGTCTGCAGTGGGACCATGGGCAGAGCAACCTATGAGAAAGAACTAAGTTTTCACATCTAGTTTGGGAGTTACTAATGCAGACAGGAATGACAATCACTTGGATTTACTGGCTGAACTCTCACTCTATCCCAGGCACTGTCTGACTGCTCTACATAGACAGGTCCACTGAGCTCATGGGGACGGAGCAGCACGTGAGTCCGTCAGTTCCTTCTGAGTAATGGGATGTGTGTGCTGCCGGCCCTGTGATGGGCACCGGTGCTGAGCTTTTCAAAGGCCAAGTGCACGGCAGAGGGAAGGTGCAGTAGACCAGATGTCACAAATGCTGTCCTTCAACCCGACTCCACCACAGACCAGCTGTGCCCCCTGGGCAGGTCCTGTGCATCGCCATCCCATGGCTACCGGGGATGTCGGAGCTTGTTTTCCTGCCTGTCTCTCCCCACTGTGGGTGATGACACAGCACAGGCACTCGAGACATTCTGATTCTTTCTGTCACCTCAGCAGGGAAGAGTAAAGATTCACAAATATGAAATCAGGAGGGAAGCACTCCTTTCCACAAAAGGGTCACAGGGGAAGGAGAGCTGATAGGGGCTGGAGCAGCAGGCCATTTTGAAGGTTCTGGAGGATCTGAGTCAGTCTCAAGAGGACAGGTGTGCAGGTAAGTGGCCAGGACACACAGGAAGGGTGGCCTGCCTGGAGCTTTGGCATTTCTAGAAGGTTGTGGGGTGTGGGAAATGCACAAGGCAGAGTGCTTTGAAAAGAGACTGTTCACAGTGACCTTCCCAACACGCTCAAAAGTCCTTCCCTTATTCAGAGAAATGGTCCCAGCTACTGCCAGGAAACGAGCGGTTCCGATCCTAAGGCATCATGAGATTGAAAGATCACCAATACAATACATGGCGATCCCAACACTACGACTGTGCTTGCACTGTGAGAGCAGAGAGCGGGCCACTCACCCAGCAGTCGGAACAGGAGCTGCTTGGTGGCGACCTGGTAGTTGAAGATGTTGACTCCCTGGTTGTTATTCACCCCGAGGCGAGCCCCCGACCGGACGATGGCGCGGCACAAGTTGGCGTTCCCTTTCATGTATGCCAGGAGCAGCACTGGAAAACAAAAGCACGCGCAGGGCTACTTCCCACCCGGCCCAGCCCGGCAGCCACAGACGGAGGGCGGAGGACAGCCAAGGGCAGAACAGACCGCTGGCAGGAAATCTGTTCACAAAGTCCCCACAGACATACGGGGGCCCCGAGGCTCTGGAGAGAACTGTGGACAACCTGTAGCATCTTCCAATAAAGGATGTGGCCACGAGCCAAAGAATTCTAGAGCAGCTGCCGTTTCCAAGACACAGTCTTTCCCACGTAGAGCTTGGGCTGCAAGAGAGCTGAGGTCGCGCAGGTGGGGAGGGATTCAACACAGAGGGAATCATCTACTGTGGTCTCAGTTGCCTTCCTCTGGCATGAAACACTGGTTTCTCCACAAAGGACAAAGCTCTTTTCACCCAATGTAACTAAATCTAAACCTACGAGTTGTGTACACATGGAGAAGAAAAATCAGTATTAGGAACACGCTCCAGAAAGTTCTTCCACCCCGTGGAGCCCGTGGGAACCCATGCTCTGGCCAGGCCAACCTGCTGGCCTTCCCTACGAACAATTACAGCTAACTGTCGCTCCCTCTGCTTCCCTATCCCAGATGCCGGGTTTCTTTCATTTAACTCTGAAAATCATACAATAAGATGAGGGTTATTCTTCCCACTATCAAATGAGGAAGCAGGCCTATGAGGGAGAATGCACCCAGTCACCCTGCTAGAATGCGACAGGGCCAGGCATCTGCACACAGGTCTCTGTAAACCGGGGACCTCAACACGGAGCCCCTCCCTGCTGCCTGTTCCTGTTTCCCTGCTCCTGGGCAAGGTGCTGCTGAGTACGTGCTGCTCACTCCCTCCCAGGGGCGGACTCCTCTGAAGCTTAAAAAACAGTGCGCACGTAGCAAAGGCCACAAACTCCTCTCAAGACCAAGAGAAAAATGGTGATAAAATATGTGGTCCCATGTTAAGGTTCAGACAACCCCATGGTGACTCCATTTCTGCCAAGACCACAGAGGTGAGTGAATGGGAATGCAGCAGCCACACAGCTGCGCAGAGGGCTCTGGGCTGGGATGAGACATCTGGTTTTGCTTTATGGGGTTACTTTTCCTTACCCGAAAAACGGGGATACAACTATGCACTGCTTCCCTTATGAGGCTGCCGTGAGTCCTCGGCAAGAAAACGAACGCGAGAGTCACCGGAAAAGCTAGGAGGGCCACACGAATGAACACAGTGATCACGGGTACCCAGAGCAACCATGAGAGGCCTGTAGCCCTCTGCATAAGAAGGCACCCCGTGTATCTGGGTAGTTTGCCACTTTCTCAGAGCATGCCGACACATGATCTAGCACATTTCTTCCTTTTGAAGATCCTGTGAGATGCTTCTATTTTCTTCCTCTGCTAGAATTTGGGAGCTTGCATAGGACCCTATTTGACTGGACAAAAGGCAAATGAGGGAAATAAAAACAGGTGGAGAGGCCTGTTTGGAGAAGGGTATGGATGGTTTCAGAGCGCTACATGCACTTGAGATGGGACAGTGTCTAAAATCAGACACCCCAGACTCCACAACAGGGCTCTGTAACTCACACCCGGAGGGCCCAACAGAACTGTTCTGCGAGCTGAACGCCCTCAGATAACGACGTGTGCCTGGGCTCTTGCTTTTCCAGGAAGCAAGGTGCGCAAGTGAGACGGGACATACCCAGCCCTTGGTACACACCCGTGCTGCCGTCTGCATCCGGCTTGTCCAGAGGATACCCCGGCATGCATTCTAGGAAGAGATCAAAGATGGCCGCTGCATTCTCCTTGCCATATTGTCCCAAAATGTGCAGTGGTGACTGGCCTCTGATAAAACAAGTTGGAAAAGTTAGGAATGTATCTGCCATGGCCATCACACACAAAATAAATAGAATTTTCTGAACTCTGTGATGGTGGATAAATCTAAAAGACACAAAACAAGTCACAAAAGTTTTTCTTTTTCTTATTTTGTATTTTACTGTAACCTAAGTGCATGCATAACAAAAGTTTTTTTGTTTGTTTTTGAGACGGAGTCTCGCTCTGTCACCCAGGCTGGAGTGCAGTGGCGCGATCTCGGCTCACTGCAAGCTCCGCCTCCCGGGTTCACGCCATTCTCCTGCCTCAGCCTGAGTATCTGGGACTACAGGCGCCCGCCACCACGCCCAGATAATTTTTTGTATTTTTAGTAGAGACGGGGTTTCACCAAGTTAGTCAGGACGGTCTCGATCTCCTGACCTCGTGATCCGCCCGCCTCGGACTCCCGAAGTGCTGGGATTACAGGCGCGAGCCACTGCGCCCGGCCAAACCTTTTAAGAAGCATTTTTTATTAAAACAAAAATACCGGTACCAAAAGTACCAAAATAAAGTACCCGAAGCTGGTGAGGTGCCCCAGCGGCCGGTTTTGCAGCTCCTCCCTGGGGCTGATGGGAGGCACCAGCAACCAGCAGCTCTGAGCAGCAGGCCAGGCGCCGCGGGGCCTACTCGGGCCCAACGCGCTCACCTGAGATTAAAGGCTTCGGCGTCCACTGTGCACTCTGTCAGGAGAACCCGGATGTTGTTGAGCCGGCCGTGCATGACAGCAAGATGAAGAGCTGGGAAGTAAATCCTCTTACTATGCAAGCCCAGAAGCACATGCAGAAAAACCTCCACTCCTCCTCACCCTCACAGACCTCTCTGTAAATGGGACCCGGCCACAGCAGCGACTGGCCACGCACAGAGCCATCCTTTCTGGTCTTCACCGCCCTCAAGGATGCATCACAAATGCAATCTCATGATTGCTCTGTGCTGTGCCTTCTGCTTCAGCAGTTACCCAAAGGTGAGATTTAACAGTTTCCCAAGGAGGCAGTGTGGGCTTCCAGGGCTCCCACTCAGATGGGGAGGCTGCCCAAGGCCTGGGCAGTCGCAGGTTGGATGCTCTACCCAGAGCACTTCCTGTCACAGCTTTGCTCCTGTAAAAGCCAACCTCCCCAGTGGGGAGCAGACCCAAGGGTGCACTGCACCCCCACCCCTAGAATGGAGGGATCGTTCAAGCCACTAAAGAATGACTGGGAGTTACCATTGTTTCCATTCTCATCCACGGCAGCAAAGTCCACGCCATTCTCTAGGAGGACTGAGCAGATGGTGGGCAGGTCCTGCTGGGCAGCAAGATGGAGGGCAGTCTGGCGATGCTTGGTTAATTCGTTCACTTTGGCTCCCGCAAGAAGCTGTTGAAGTTCATTACATGAACAGTCAGTCTCTCTGCCACAATCAAGATCCCCCTTATGGGGGCCGAGCCTGCTTGTCTTCTGACACCCACAGAGGCTGATGGCCTGCCCTGCTGACAGAGCTGGGAGCATAGGAGCTTCACACACACTCCTGCTGAAGCAGAAACCAGCAAAACCCGTGCCAAGGGCAAACTGGCAATTACCTATCAAAATGTTAAAGAGCCATTCCTTGGGATGCAGAAACTCTACTTCTAAGGTTTTCGTGTATAAAAGCTGTGCAGGACTGCAGTGATGGCCGCTGTACTATCTACGGGTGTCTACTGCTTGGAATAGGAAAGCCTGAAGGCAAAGGGGTTTGGTTGTAAAAAATTGTAATAGGTACAAACAGTAGAGTAAGATGATAAATATTTATCGATTAACATGGAAAGATGTTGATGACAAGTAAGTTTAAAAAACCTTGCAAATTAGAAGATAGTATGATTCCATCTGGGGAAGACAGAGCTCTGTGTACACACAAGCATGCAGGCACAGAGGCACTTGGAAGGTGTTTCAAAGCATAAATGCCATACTCCGAAGAGCTGGGACTCAAAGAGAGACACTATCTGTTTCACATCCTTACATGCTTTGAGTTTTTCCACAATGAGTATGTACTATTTCACTATTGTTTTCTATTTATTATTTCTTGAGACAGCAACTTGCTGTGTCACCCAGGCTGGAGTGCAGTGGTACCATCATAGCTCACTGCAGCCTTGAACGCCTGGGCTTAGATGATTGGCCCACCTCAGCCTCCTGAGTAGCCAGGACCACAGGCATGTGACCCTATACCTGGCTAATTAAAAAAAAGAAAAATTCTGTAGAGACAACGTCTTGCTATGTTGCCCAGACTGGTGTCAAACTCCAGGCCTCAAGTGATCCTCCCACCTTGGCCTCCCAAAGTCCTGGGATTACAGCATAAGCCACTGCACCCGGCCTGTTTTTTAAAAGAAAGAACACAGGCCGGGTGCAGTGGCTCAGGCCTGTAGTCCCAGCACTTTGGGAGACTGAGGCGGGCGGATTGCTTCAGCCCAGAAGTTCGAGACCAACCCAGGTAACATGGCAAAACCTCATCTCTACAAAAAATTTAAAAATTAGCTGGGTGTAATGGTGTGCACCTGTAATCACAGCTACTCGGGAGGATGAGATGGGAGGATTGATTGAGCCTGGCAGGTCAAGCCTGCAGCGAGCTGTGATCAGGTCACTGCACTCCAGCCTGGGCAACAGAGCAAGACCATGTCTCAAAAAAGGAAAAAGAAAAAAAAAAGAAAGAAAAAAAGGGACACAAAGAATTACAGAATCAACACAGCCGGAGGGACCTTTACATAATACCTATTCGTTTAGTATTTGAAGTTCGTCATCCTCTTTCTGACAAAGTTTAAAAAACAATCGCTGTAAACAGAAAATACATGTAGTCTGTAGTCAGAACCCAATTTGCTGCTGCTGAGGTGTATGGCCACCCCTGGTTCCTCCGTGTGTACAGGCACTGCCTCTGGGAAAATCTAGGTGCTGCTTAGCTGCTCTGGTTAGGACCCTGACTTCTAAGTCTCAGCCTCCCCAGAACTCTGGGCGCCCAGTCTAATCACTGATCGATAAGACATATGAGTGGATATGGGACTCTCCATACGGGACGTCTCACAGATGTATATTCATGGTCCCTGGTGCTGTGTTAGGGATCATAACTGGCCCCACAGCTGGTTAACTGGGAGGAGAGAGTGGGGAAGGGGTTTCAGTATGAACAGGGTCAAACAGGATGCAGCATCAATTCAGAGGAAGGAGCACACGGACACTGGAAGACCCGCTGTTTCTAGTGTTTCTGGGCGATCCTATCATCTGTCATGCCGGGCCCCAGGAAGGCGGGGTCCTTGGTCAGGGACCGTAACCTCCTCCAGCCCTACAGAGGCATAAAGACTGATGAACACGAGGCCGATTCCCTACGACTTTGGGACCCAGCTCCGCCTCCTTGGCTGCTTCCCCCACATCCAATCTGTTCCTGGCACCATCATACCCACCGCTCCTTAGCCCTCAGTTCACACTCACTGCCACGGCCTCCGCTCGGTCTCGTCACTGGTGAGCCCGCCCCACACCTGTGTGCCTCACTCCCAAGGCGCCTTCTTCAAATGCTGCCTCAGCTCAAACACAATCAGGTCACAAGGCTTTTCTAAAAAGCACTTTTCAGAAACAGTGACACCAAGGCGCCAAAGGCTGCTCAGGTGCCTTAGCGGCCAGTTCTGCGGCATGTGTCTGGGGCTGACAGGAGGGACCAGCGACAGCCAGCTCTGAGGAGCAGAGACCAGACGATGAGGCCCTGTCTCAGCTCTGGACCTTGTTCTCTCAGCTCAAACACTTACAATGGTTTCTCCACTGCCTAAAAGATACTGGCTGCTCACAGTTCTCGGTTTGAAATGTGACACCCCACGATCTGCTTTCTTCCTGCCCCTCTAACCACAGCTCTTTCAACTCTACTAAAACTTCAACCAAACTTTCCTACGTAAACACACCACATGCACTTCCCAATCTCCACATCTTTACTGAGACCCTCCCCGGCCTGGGTGGAAAAAGCAGGCTTTGGAGTCCAATGGAAAAGGCTAAAATCCAGCACTACTTGCTTAGATAGCCTCGGGGGTAAAATTCTTTCTCGGCCTACATTTTCTCCTTTGTAAAATGTAAAACATTTCTCATACCCCTCTGTGGTTTTGAAAATTAAGAGAGACAGCTCACTTCAAAGTCCCAGTTGAATGCCTGACAGAGAACACAAGTGGATCTCCACTTCCTCGGTGCTCCCACCCTGCCTCCACCATTGAAATCCTGCTTTCTGGAAGGGCCCCATCTAGCATCTGGCAGCCCACGCAGCCCAGTGGGGCGCTCAGGACGTGCAGCCCTTGACACCAGTTTCCTGAGTGCACCAGCCTCGCTCCCCAAATTCCCCAGGTGCTTTCACAACACCGGGCAAAGCACCTGTGATGAGATTCTGCACAAGCTCTACAATATGCTTTGACAACATATTATTACATGCAATACTTCTGTGTCACTTACCAAATTGCGGACAATAATTTCTGAGCCTGCTTGGACAGCGAGGTGCAGGGGGGTCAACTTGGAGGCATCCTGGACTCTTGAATTCACATTAGCGTGGACACTGATCAGGAACAGCACACTTTCAATATCAGAGTTCTGAACTGCCACATGAAGGAAATTCCGGCCCTTGTTATCCACCTACAGCAACAAGTGCAAAGCAAAATATTAGTTCCCTTTTCAGAGTACCTCCTGAGCTTCATCTGCAAGCTGAACTGACCACTGGAGAGGTCACGATGGAGACCTTCCCTCAGTCTTAGGAAACCCCCTCCCAAGAATGAACATGAAACGCCATCCCCCAACCCACCCACAGACCCACTCTACACATCTGTGCACAGAACCAGGTGTGCGTGGCCACACCCACGTGGTCAGGAGAAGGGAGCCACTGTGGCAGCCTCCTGTAGTAGGAACTGGATGTGGAAAACCAAGAAAAAGACAATCTGAAGGATAGGGAAACGCAAGCACCAAGATATCAGGAAACTCATGGAGAGGGAAAATGGAGACAAGCCTTGGGAGTCTCTTTGCTTTGGCTAAAACAAGCACCCAGCATCCTGATGCCCCAGCTGCACTGCCGGCCTGACCCGAGCAGTCAAACAAAGGGTTGAGAAACGTGGAGAAAGTTTCCTCTTACTGAGCTACGCTCTATACACAATGCGGGAGGGAGCCAACAGCAGGGCCCGGGCTTTGCTCCGCTGATGGAAAGCCAACAGAGCTCAATGAAATCAAAGCACACCGTCTCCTGTAGTTCCCAGAGCCGTCTTAGCATGAGTGTGGAGGCGGCAGCGAGGGCGACCCCAGTGCCACACACACGGCACGCCGCTTCACAGGCCCACACGTCACACACGGCACGTGCCAGTCTCATAAGCAGCGGATCCACAAAGCGCTTTCATCAGCAGTCCAGTTTCACACTGGAGAGAAGAAACGGGAGAGGCCATTTCACACCACCTGAGCAAACGTGAGGTCACCACCTACGCAATCCAGTCACACTTGTGAAAATGCTGAAGACGGTGGTTACGGAAGCCTAAGACACCAAGCAATCATCTCCACCCATGCGAGGATCTCACTTCACGCGGGTCCCAAGTTCCATCTCACCTTCATGAATGCCACTGATAAATGCGCCAGTACTCTAGGTGCTGGCTGGAGAGCCAAGTTCCTGCAGGACTGACCTGATAAACCCACCCCCTCCTACTCAGATCAGTTGTGATTGTCATTTCCCAGCCAACTGCTTGTTGCAGATCAACAGTTCACCATCCCGATGTAGCAGCTGGTAAAGAACCACAAAGAACAAGGACAGCCGAGGCTACTGAGCAACTGAACTCCTCGGAAACACTCAGGAAGTTGCCCCAACATCACAACACAAGCTCTTTCAAAGACACTCCTCACTAGGACAGTTAACCAACCTAGCAAAAGCAAAGAATGAGCTCAACTGTACATGCCACAGAATTCCTACGATGGAGCCCACTGCCTCCGCTTCCATCGAAGCCGGGCACTGTCAGGCGCTGACACACAGGCAGAGGAGCCGGATCTCATCCTGCACGGATGGGACATCTCAACAGCCACATCTTAGGACAGGAGTACAACTTCAAAACAAAGCTCTTTCCATGAGGAGACCTGTTTAGTCGGTGACATCTGTCTAGTCTCCAGGTTCCGCGACGCCCAGGACCATGTGGAGAAGGTCAGGTGTTATTCACTCACCTGCTCAGCAGCCCCGGACTCTCGTTTGAGAATGGCCTCGGCTGACTTGTTGTTCTTGAAAGTCATGGCACAGGCAAACGGGGTCAGCCCTTGTCTGTCTCGTACATTCAAATGGATATCGGGGTGAGAAACCAACAGCTGAATGATGACACCGTGTTGGCTGCTGATGGCCACGTGGATGGGGGTTCTTCCTTCTGCATCCTATGGAACAAGGCACAGAATTTAATGTTCAATTGCAAGATAAAACTCAGGAAAAATATGAAAGGGTATAACTTTTAAATCAAATTTCAGTTATGAGAATCGATCAATACTACCACCCTGTGTTTGACTCAGCTTTTGAAGAGGCCAAAGAGAAATGACTAAATGTCACTTCCTGTTACACCACGTTCCAGTGACCCAGTGGTGACCGTAGGACCAGCACAAACATGTGTTTCACATCTGCAGTGAGTCTCCGCTCTAAGCCACCACTCCTTATCTGGCTATAGGGCCTTATATATAAATCTGCACAGGCTCGAATGTTGAAAAGCATCAAAGGGCGTAACTCAGGGGTGCTCAAGTGAGCTACTGGGACATTTTCCTAAATACAGTATGCGATTTGGGACTAAACTCTCAGAGGAAATCTGTAACTAAGGGGGAATAGGAGGCAAAGAGAAAGAGCTGAAACAAATCTTCCTCCTGTTGTAGTAAGGACAAAGGCACAGAGAAGCACAGTCAGCCTGAAATCATGAACGCTGCTAGGGAGGTCGTGTGTTCATGAAGCAGCAGCGCCTGGAACTGGGGACTGTGCAAGGTCCTCTGCCATAGGAGGAGGCTTCCCTCATGCTGGGGCTACACCTCTCTCCCCGGAAAAGAGAAACGACACACCTGTGCGTTCACGTTGGCACCAAACTCCAGAAGACACTGTACTGTCTCTTCCAGCCCCCAAGAGGCTGCCAAATGCAAAGGGGTCTGCCCATCTCTAGCCTCTTCCTCTCCTTCTCCATTGGCGCCTGGTTGTCTGGGACTGTTCACGTCACAGCCACTGAAAGGAATGGGGACATTTTAAAAAACGCCACGCTTGGACCTGGCGTATAGGCATGCTGATTACAAATGTAAAGCAGGAGCCTCATCCAATCCAACAGCGTCTGCTGTGGCCGGGTCTGCTGTCCTTGGTCCCTGGCCTCAAATACCAGAGTCGGGGTTCCACTCCCATAGATTCTTCTGTGACTGGTCTTGGGGGTGGGCAACCCGGGCATCAGAATTGTTAGAAACTTCCCAGGGGATATGCATACATTTAAAGCCTGAGAACCAGCCGGATGCGGTGGCTCATGCCTCTAATCCCAGCACTTTGGGAGGCCGAGGCAGGTGGATCACCTCAGGTCAGGAGTCCACGACCAGCCTGGCCAACGTGACGAAACCCCCTCTCTGCTAAAAACACAAAAATTAACCGGGCGTGGTGGTGCGCGCCCATCCCACCTCCCATCCCAGCTACTCAGGAAGCTGAGGCAGGAGAATTACTTGAACCCAGGAGGCAGAGGTGGCAGTGAGCCGAGATGGCGCCATTGTACTCCAGCCTGCGTAACAGAATGGGACTCCATCTCAAAAATAGAAAATACAAAAAGAAAGTTTGAAAACCATAAAGTTTGAGCCAGGCACGGTGGCTCACGCCTGTAATCCCAACACTTTGGGAGGCTGAGGCGGGTGGATCATGAGGTCAGGAGATCGAGACCATCCTGGCTAACATGGTGAAACCCCGTCTCTACTAAAAATACAAAAAAAAAATTAGCCGGGCGTGGAGGCGGGCGCCTGTAGTCCCAGGGCTGAGGCAGGAGAATGGCGTGAACCCAGGAGGCAGAGTTTGCAGTGAGCCAACCAAGATGGTGCCACTGCACTCTAGCCTGGGTGAGAGAGCAAGACTCTGTCTCAAAAAAAAAAAAAAAAAAAAAAAAGAAAGAAAGAAAACCAGAAAACCATTAGTCTGAGAACCACTGCTGTGAAGGCTTCCTGAATAACCTCGGCTCCCACACTTCCCACACTCCAAGGGGGCCACAGAGCCTGTTACGACTCACACATCGTGGTGGGGTCCTGCAGAGACCATCTGGTCTCCCCAGCCATAGCCTCCTGCTTCACAGTCTGAACTGGTCTGCCGTGACTACAGGAGCTCAGGCAGCTCCCAAAGCAGGACGCTGACTCCAGCTTTCAGATTCTTTGATTCAGGGCTGTGAGCTCCTCCCGTCACAAGTGAGCCTGGCTCCTGGCTGACTTGACATGACAGAACAGTGACTCTCTGATAACCTTAACTGTGAAAGTCAAGCCGGCTACTGGCATGCCAAGACTATAGACGGATTTAAAAAGGAAAGAGCCAGTTTGCAACAAGCTCACTAAAAAGCTGTGGAGAGATACTGGGGACTCTCAGACCTGCGAATAAGAAAGCAGGCGGTGGGCTCGTTGTTTTCATCAATGGCTCTGTGCAGGAGCGTCTGAAGGCACCCACCAGGTCCCGGACCCCAGCATGTGGCATCACAGCCATGTCTGACCTGCAGAAAAACATAGGTTATTCACAAACACTGCTGAGCAAAGGCAAACAGTTTTATTACCAAGTCTGAGCTCTATGTATAGCATTAAATCCACTTTCAGATAAGATACGGTTGATAATAAATTGATAATTACTTTAATCTGTATCACTCATTATTTTACAAACACTAATTAAAATTTGCTGTGTGCAAGTTCGTGCACTAGGTCCTGTGGGACAGACTTGGGAAGTATAAACAAGTTATGTTTAATTTGTGTCCTTTAGAGCTGAGTTCTAGAAGGGACAGAAAACAGAAAGTGTCTGTGTACACATGCACCAACGGGTCCTCAGTAACACACACCTGCAATTAACAGGTAATCTCAACAACTAGGTAAAACCTCCAGGTGCACAACGCCTTCATATCACACTGCAGGCCCTTCGGAGAGCTGAATGAGAATGTGCAGGTTTGCCTCCACTTTTGGGGCCTGTCTTGCAAACAAGGGAGATAAACCTAAGATTGAGGAAATTATCACTATGGTGATAATGAGGACACCCCATAGCAAATCAACCAACCCCAGGAGAAGGCTCCTGAGGAAACGCCGCCATTCTCTTGCTTCTTGGTAGTTTTCTTGGTAAAGATGACCTAAAAACAAAAGGTCAGCCAAGACCATGTTGAACTGCAAGTTTCTTTAACATGCTTTCAACTGCTTGTCCTTGTCCCACTATGTTACTTGACAGATCTTGCTCCTGTGACAGCTACGCAGGCAGCAGATCCATCTCTGACACAACATATCCCCATCTGTAAACAGAGGCTAACGTTGTGCCTGTCTCACCAGAGTGGATGCGATGTCCTCCAGATTGTTTGCCAATGCAAGCCACAGCGGGGGGTTCCCCTTCTCATCTGGCACAGACATGTCAGCTCCTCGGGTGCATATGGCATCAACTACGAGTGGAAGCTGGTTTCTGATGGCCAGCTGGAGGGCTGTCTCCCCGTCCTGAGTCCTGCTAGGACATGCACACCCAAACCAACGTTTGTGGTTGAACCCAAAGCACAGAAGGTGCCCTTCTGGGCATTCCAGAGTCCAGAATCTTCTGTCTCTAATCATATTCACTCACAATCATTCAATATTTTCTCAGGGAAATTAAATGTGAAAATAGTGTCTGTCCATTCTGACTTTTTAGAACACATAACCATGTCACCTTATTGCCCTCGGAGATAACATCCCAGCGTGCTGAAATCTTATAGTTACTTTTTAAAGCATCTTAATAAAATGCCACTCCAAGAACCCTCCTGGCAAACCTTCCTTCCCCCACTCAGTCATTCAGTCACTTGGAGATAAAGGTAAGTTCTTTTGAAAATACAACCACAATAAAAATTTGACTCCATGTCTTTTTCCCTCTCAGGCCTTGTTGGTGGCTCATTTGTTGGAACATTCTTCATTGTAACTGAAATTCCTTGTTAAAAACTGATTTTAGGGTGGGCCGCAGTGGCTCATGACTGTAATCCCAGCACTTTGGGAGGCCGAGGCAGGCAGATCACTTGAGGTCAGGAGTTCGAGACCAGCCTGGCCAACATGGTGAAACCCCGTCTCTACTAAAAGTACAAAAATGAGCTGGGCGTGGTGGTGGGCGCCTGTAATCCCAGCTACTTGGGAGGCTGAGGCACGAGAAATGCTTGAACCCAGTAGGTGGAGGCCGCAGTGAGCCGAGATTGTGCCACTGCACTCCAGCCTAGGCAAAAGAGTAAGATCCTGCCTCAAAGGAAAAAAAACCTGGATTTTAGATTGTTTTTTACAATGAGACTTGTGCAATACTATGCACTGGTCCTGAAAGGTTCAAACAAGAGCAAAGGACAGTTCCTTTCCGCCATTACAATCAAGTCTTTTGATGATATTCAGTGATGACACCGCAGTTGTGTGTTTCTAGAGCTACTGTTTCCTTTCCTCTAACTAATATGAAACAAAAACACTTTTCTACAAGCGAGGCTATGCTTTTGACATCTCAATTAATTGTTACCTGGTGTTAGGTGGAGAGAGCGGCTTCCTCCTACCTGACATTTATATCTGCCTGGTGCTCCAGCAGGAAGAGTGCGCTCTTGCTGTCCTGCCGCTGTATGGCCATGTGCAGTAGCGTCTGCCCATCCGACATGGTGTCATTGATGGCGGCTCCAGAGCCCAGCAGCTGGGCTGCGATCGTGTGCATGCCTGGGAAACAAGCCCCGATCTCATCCAGGCTCGGCTTTTCCCGCTTCCTCAACATCTTACTACAACAGCCAGACCCTCTCAGCTTCTCAAAGCCAGCAGTTTTCCACTGGATCTAACAGGCTTAACTCAAACAGAAATGTTATTTTACAACCAAATGATTAGCCCAGTCTCCTCTTTCTTTCTCGCTCCCTCTGTCCCACCCGGCCCCACTTCGGACAGCTGTCTGTCTGCAGACATCAGCGGCCCCGGCACAGCCTTACCAGTCCATAATGCCAGGCCCAGCACAGTCTGGTCTCGGGAATCTTTGAGGCTGAAGTCCGGAATGATCTGCAAGTTGTTGGTGGCATGAAGAGCATTGGCTAAATGTTTGAAAAAGTAAAAGAACACTTGATGTCACCATCTGTGGATCACACTTAAAGCTTCAGTAGAGTAAGAACTCAAACTGCCTGTTGGGTATAATATGATCAATGCTATAAAAAGAGAGTAGATAAATCTTGTCAAGACTCAAAGCCCAGAAATCTGATATTTTGGAGCAAAACTTACAGGGAAAACGAATCTTTTTAAAGCTTAAAACACTGACTCTTCACGTAAGAAAAATGGACTCCATTACGGAAACACGCTTGATTACTAAAAAGACTAAAACAACGCCCTGATGATGTTTCCTAGAACGCAATCTTAAAACTTTCCCTCCTACAGTCTTAAAACTTCTGTGAGGACCAAAAAAAGGGCACATAGTACCTAAAACCCAACCTCCCTCCAGAAGGACAAGGCTAAAAAAACACTGTCCTTAACAAGGATTGAGGCAAGAGCAAAATAAACCTCAGGACAGGCAAGAGAAGGCGTGAGGGAGACTTTCTGAGGGAAACGGCCCTTCTGTCCCACAGGGGCTGCCCCTGGCCCCTCTTTCTGGCCCCTCTCTCATGGGGTGCCTGCCACAACAGGGTTCTCAAAGACAGTGCTCACACCGAGGCACAGCTTTGCTTGACCTACACTAAATGGCCTAGAGAAATAGTCAAATAAGACAGACATTACTACCAGCTTAACCTAACAAATGAAATGGGCAGGCCCCATCCTGAAAACACACACAGGGAAGCAGCAGTCAAGAGCCAGACTACATGCTTCTCTAGTTTGACCTGAAAGGATTTTTTGGGGGTAAGAAACTAGCCATATGAAACTCACCAACAGAAAAAACATCAACTCTGTAACTAAGGATCCTAAACTGCTGTCCCCAAGTCAAAAGGATGGACAGTATTCCCACTTACTTACCTTTCTGCTCCAGGATGACAGACACCACATCCGGATGGTTATAGGCGATCGCCATGTGCAGTGGCGTCTGCAGATGGACGCTGTCCGCCAAGCTGGTCAGGGATGCGGCCTCCTTTGGCAGAGGCAGAGCTTCCTCCGTCTGCAGGTTTGGGTTGGCGCCTTGCTGCAGGAGCTCTGCCGTGAGGTTGGCCAGGCCATGCCGACACGCTGTGTGCAACGGGGTTTCTCCCTGAATGGAAACAAATGGCCGAAATCTGAGCACTCACAGGAATTCCCTTCACAAAGAGCGTGGCAGCCTAAGTGCAAAACCTCGGGTCCTTGGCTCATCCTGCCGCCAGCTGCCCCTCCTGACTTCTGTTCTCTTTCTCCTGAGCCATCGCTCTCAGTATCTTTTTTTGTTTGTTTTGAGACGGAGTCCCGCTCTGTCACCCAGGCTGGAGTGCAGTGTCAAGATCTCGGCTCACTGCAACCTTTGCCTCCCGGGTTCAAGCGATTCTCCTCCCTCAGCCTCCTGAGTAGCTGGGATTACAGGCACGCACCACCACACCCAGCTAATTTTTGTATTTTTAGTACAGACAGGTTTCACCATGTTAGCCAGGCTGGTCTCAAACTCCTGACCTTGTGATCCACCCAACTCGGACTCCCAAAGTGCTGGGATTACAAGCGTGAGCCACCACGCCCGGCCCATTTTTTTTTTTGAAGCAGCATCTCGCTGTGTTGCCCAGGCTGGACTCAAACTTCTAGCCACAAGCAGTCCTCTTGCCTCAGCTTCCCAAATAGCTGGGGTTACAGGCGTGAGGCACTGCGCCTGGTTCCACCCTTAGTTTCTTCAGTGTCTTCCCCAAGCACCTTCCGAAAGCACTGGCTTCTTGACTTCACCTCCAAGGTCCTCTTTAACCACCCTTCGCTTTGTTTTATAATTCTTTTTTTTCTAATTATAAAAATAATATATGCTTATCACGACAGAACAATAACAAGCTCCAAGTGTCACCAAAATAAATAGTACAACAAATGGGAGAGCCGCGCAGCCCCCGCCCGGACCTAAGCCCCGGCAATCGGCAGCCTTAACGCTGTGGCCGTCGCTTCTTCTTTAGCTCCGTCTCTGTGGCCTGCTTGTATCAATCTCATCTTGAGCTCTGATCAAGACCTCCTTCTCCTACTTTTAAAAGTTAAAAATATTTTTAATTGGTATTACCGCTACCTGATGCAACATTTAAAACGAAGTTTCCTCTCACATTTGGAACCATTATTACCACTTTCATGTTTCTCTCCATTGACAGAACCCTCCCAGGAAAACACACGTATGCACACACACATGCATGTGGGCGTGTCCACGTGTATGTCCGTATGTAAACACACACACTGGAGTGTTTTCACCCCAACAAGTGGAAATGAACGGAATGCACCACTCTGCCTGCAGTACGGCGCTTGCATAAGGTGCCTGCCCTCATCAGAGTTATACATCATCACTTAGAGGCAAGAACTCTCCAAGGCTTCTTGTAAAAATCAGCAAGATCCCTGGCGGTGATGTTTACAACTAACTGATCACAACCAGTTACAGATTCATTTGTTCCTTCACTCCCACTGCCTCACTTGGCTAGCCTAAAAAAAAAAAAATATCCTTTCCCAGCAGGAATCACTTTTAACTCTTCCAGCTGGGTTTTGTAACTCTCCATATTTCTAACCAACATGTTTTTATTGCTGCCTCTTGATTTTCCAGCTTTGAACATTATCTGTGGGACTTTCCACTGTGGCAGATAAGGATTGAGTACTTTTACGCCTTGACCCAGAGTGCGCGCTTCCCATCCCAAATCCTCCCCATACAGGGGAACTGTAATTGCAGTGTGAGCCCGCCCAAGTATGTCCTCTTCCTCCTCCTCCCCTGCTCCTCCCGCTCCTCTACCCCTCCTCCTCGGGGCTGTCTTCTGTTCCAGACCTTCTTCCTACGCATTCTCCTTGGGTGTGCTGATCTACTCCACGGCTTCTGCCATTATCTGCAAGGAAGAGACTCTCAAACCCAGGTCTCCAGCCCCATTCTTGCATCTAATTTTCCCACTGCCTGTTAGACATCCCTACCTTAAATGTGTAGAAATTCAAAAATCACAATGGAATTTATTCCCACACACAGGCTCCTCCTCCTGGCCAGTTTCCTCTGTTTTTCCATGGGTTCGCCGCAACTGTTTTTTTTAAATTCGTATTTCAGTGTCTTTGGGGTACAGGTGGTTTCTGGTTCCACGGATAAGTTCTTCGGTGGTGATTTCTTAATGTTAGTGCACCCGTCACCTGAGCAGTGTACACTGTACCCAGTATCACCCTTTTATCCCCCACCGCCCTCCCAAGCTTCCCCTCCAAGTTCCCAAATTCCATTACGTCATTCTTGCACCACAGGGGTTTTAACAGCTCTCTTGCCCTCGCTTCTGGGAGCCTCAAGCATGCGTGTCACAGACTGATTCTGCAATTCCTGTGAAACCTGTTCCTTTGGATCCAAATGCAGTGTGAGAGGACAGGACAGGACAGGTCATTGCTTGTCAAGATGACTCCCACTTGGCTCCAGCCTGGACTCCACGGCACACCCACCATGCCAGCCATCCCAGGCAGTTTTCTCAGCTCCAGAAGAATCACACTACTTCTCTGCCCAAAACCCTCCAATGGCTCTTCTGTCCCCACAGGATAAAGCCCACACAGCGGAAGCCAGTGTTCCAGGCCCTTCTGCAGTGCTGGTCTCCAGTGCTTTCAAGTGAGGCCTCCCGTTTCTCTACAGCTTGGGTTTGACCTAGTTTTGCTATGAAGGGTATTCAGAGAAGGAACAACAGCGGGTAGACAATGTGGGCCCAAGGGAGGTTTTTTTTTGTTTGTTTTTTGTTTTCCGAGACAAAATCTCACTCTGTGCCCCAGGCTGGAGTGCAGCAGCGCAATCGCCACTCACTGCAACCTCTGCCTCCCAGGTTCAAGCGATTCTCCTGCCTCAGCCTCCCGAGTAGCTGGGATTACAGGCACTGGCCACCTCGCCCAGCTAATTTTTGTATTTTTAGTAGGGACAGGGTTTCGCCATGTTGGCCAGGCTGGTCTCCAACTCCTGACCTCAGGCGATCTGCCCACCTCAGCCTCCCAAAGTTTTGGGATTACAGGCGTGAGCCACCGTGCCCAGCAGAAGATTTTAAGTTAGGAGATAGTAGAGCATGTCTCTATGCTATTAGAAATGAATAATGGGCAAAGCTAATGATGCAGGAGGAAAAGAAAGAGACAGAGACACACGATGGCAAGAGCAGAGGCATGGAGAAGGTGAGAGGGCACGAGATGCTGAGATGCTGAGCCCAAAACAAGCAGCAGCCTCTGGTGGGCATGGGGCCATGCCATCACTCTGGCCGGTGGGCACGAGGCCATGCCGTCACTCTGGCCGGTGCGCACGGGGCCGCGCTGTCACTCTGGCTGGAGAGTTGGCTGTGTGCAGACACATAGTGGAGTCAGCAGTGGAAAGGATGGCACTGCCCTCTGTCCTGTACCAAGATACACTTGTCTGGCTCAGATACCAAGCTCACTGTTTACTGCCTTGCCCAGTGCTGTTGAGACAGTGTGCAACTAGATAGCCTTGTGCTGGAGTCTTAATGTGGACACCTCATTATTTATAAGCCACTTAACCTCTCAGAACCTCAAGGTCCTTGACTCCAAAATAGAGAATTGATTGATGTGGGAAAGGCTTCTTCAATCCTAACGATACATGCTGCTTCCAGGTCCACTGTGAAAATTAAAAGGGATAATAGCCTTAAAGCTGCTAGCAGAAAGTGACCGTAAAATAAATGTGATCTTGAAGACAAGCACATCCTCATGGTCTGAAAATAATAAAGTAAAAATAACTATCAAATAGTACCTAATGTCTCAGATATTATGCTAATAAGCATTTAGCTGGGCGTGGTGGTGCATCCCTGCAATCCCAGCTATTCTGGAGGCTGAGGCAGGAGAATTGCTTGAATCCAGGTGGCAGAGGTTGTGGTGAGCCGAGATTGCCCCATTGCACTCCACCCTGGGCAACAAGAGCAAAACTGTGTCTCAAGAAAAAAAAAAAAAAAAAGAAGAAGACTGCATAGGGAGGAAATGGGAAAGCTGGTAAACTCGGTAACGTCCAACCCCAAAGGTAACACTTTTATTCATAACACCGCACATTCCACCTTGTTAGCGTGCGACATAGACTCATACGTGACAATCCACAGAGGAAAACCCAAGCAAATGTGAAGTGTTATCAAGAATCAAATGCTATCGCGGTAGGTTTGTGCACGCGTTTGCTAACCTCTATTAAAGTCCATAGCATCTAGTTCGGGGTCTGATAACCTGAACAAGCACTGTTTCCTACACAAACGCTTAGGAAATGGCTGCTGAATGAATCAATCAACCAATATTTGAAGAAACACAAAATAATCTGTTTCACTCTGGCTTTTTAACCATATGCATGTATTATTCTGATTAAAAACTGAAAAAAACCACCTATTCCCCTTTTTCCTACATATCCACCACTGCCATTTCTTCCATAGATCAACACCATTTTCTCCGGCTGCCCTGTCACACTTACCCACTTGTTTCTGTGGTTGACATGGGCACCGTTGGTTGCCAGGAAAAGAGCTGCTGCCTCGTTTCCTGCTCCAGCTGCCCGCTGTAGTAAACAGTTTCCTAAAAGAAAATGGGCATTGCTGATTCTTCTGTTTGCATCAAAATGCGGTCACGCTGCACAACACCCTGCTCTTCCCTGCCACCCTATGACTGGCAAGCCCACGCCAGACAGTAGGCCCACACCAGACAGTAGGCCCACGCCAGACAGTAGGCCCACGCCAGAGAGTAGGCCCACGCCAGAGAGTAGGCCCACACCAGACAGTAGGCCCACGCCAGACAGTAGGCCCACGCCAGACAGTAGGCCCACGCCAGACAGTAGGTCCACGCCAGACAGTAGGTCCACGCCAGACAGTAGGTCCACGCCAGACAGTAAGCCCACGCCAGACAGTAGGTATCATTTAAGTCCACATAGGTACTCTCTGTATGTGGACACAGAGGCTAGGGAATGCCCCAGGCTGGAGCATCCACACAGGTACTCTCTGTGTGTGGACACAGAGGCTAGGGAACGCCCCGGGCTGGAACATCCAATTCCTCCCTGGGATTCCCGCTAGCCACTGCCCAGGACGGGAGGGAAGTTCTGTCCCCTTGCTGAGGGTGGGTTAGAGCAAGATTTCTCAACAGTGGTGCTACGGACATTTTGGACAGGATAAATTCTTTGTTGTGGGGTCTGTTCTGCACACTGTACAATGTTCGGCAGCATCCTCTGAACTTAAAGACAATTAGAAATGTCTGTAGATGTTGGCCAGTGTGGTGGCTCACAGCAGTCATCCCAGCACTTTTGGAGGCCGAGGCAGGCGGATTACTTGATGCCAGCAGTTTGAGATCAGCCCGGCCGACATGGTGAAAACCTGTCTCTACTAAAAATACAAAAATTAGCCAGGCTTGGTGGTGCACACCTGTAATCCCAGCTACTCGGGAGGCTGAGACACAGGAATTGCTTGAACCCACGAGGCAGAGGTTGCAGTGAGCCAAGATCGTGCCACTGCACTCCAGCCTGGGCGACAGAACAAGACTCTGTCTCAAAGAAAAAAAAAAAAGAAATGTCTACAGATGTTGACAAATGTTCTCAGGCAATAAAGGCAGGATTGTGCCTGGCTGAAAACCACTTGGCTGGATGACCATTTTGAAAACATTTTAAGTCCTATTAGAAAATGCCCCTTAAATACTTCAGTTTTATTCCTAATGCTTTAAATATGTTTGTTCTTGGCTTAGAAATATTTTCCTTAGCACTGTTACTCTTTTCTAAATAAAAACCTTGGAAAGAAAAAAATGAGTTTTTTTTTCTCTCTAAATGGTTTTAGCCCTAAAACAGTGTTTCTCAGCTTTTAAAATCCATTTCCAAAAATGAACAAACTCTCTCATGTCAACAGCTATACTATTTGAAATTCTAAATAAACCAAACACCAGGACTGAAAACAAGATAAAGAACTGTGACAGCCGGGCACGGTGGCTCATTGCCTGTCATCCCAGCACTTTGGGAGGCTGAGTTGGGTGGATAATTTGAGCTCAGGAGTTCGAGACAAGCCTGGCCAACATGGTGAAACCCTGTCTCTACTAAAAATATAAAAACTAGCCAGGCCTGGTGGCACATGCCTGTAATCTCAGCTACTCAGGAGGCTGAGGCAGGAGAATCACTTGAACCCAGGAGGCAGAGGTTGCAGTGAGCCGAGATAGTCCCACCGCACTCCAGCCTGGGCGACAGAGCGAAACTGTCTCAAAACAAACAAACAAAAAGAAATGGGACAAAGTACTACTTTGCTTTCATACCATGTTTTTCCTTATCCCTCAGAGACAGGAATCCGACTCCTAGTTGATGGTTGCTCTATACTGGAGACTCCTAGTTGATGGCTGCTCTAATCTGGAGACTCCTAGTTGATGGTTAATCTGGAGACGCCTAGTTGATGGTTGCTCTAATCTGGAGACTCTTAGTTGATGGTTGCTCTCATCTGGAGACTCCTAGTTGATGGTTAATCTGGAGACGCCTAGTTGATGGTTGCTCTAATCTGGAGATGCCTAGTTGATGGTTACTCTAATCTGGAGACGCCTAGTTGATGGTTACTCTAATCTGGAGACTCTTAGTTGATGGTTGCTCTAATCTGGAGACTCCTAGTTGATGGTTACTCTAATCTGGAGACTCCTAGTTGATGGTTGCTCTAATCTGGAGACTCCTAGTTGATGGTTACTCTAATCTGGAGACTCCTAGTTGATGGTTAATCTGGAGACTCCTAGTTGATGGTTAATCTGGAGACTCCTAGTTGATGGTTAATCTGGAGACTCCTAGTTGATGGTTAATCTGGAGACTCCTAGTTGATGGTTGCTCTAATCTGGAGACTCCTAGTTGATGGTTACTCTAATCTGGAGATGCCTAGTTGATGGTTACTCTAATCTGGAGACTCTTAGTTGATGGTTGCTCTAATCTGGAGACTCCTAGTTGATGGTTGCTCTAATCTGGAGACTCCTAGTTGATGGTTACTCTAATCTGGAGACGCCTAGTTGATGGTTACTCTAATCTGGAGACTCTTAGTTGATGGTTGCTCTAATCTGGAGACTCCTAGTTGATGGTTAATCTGGAGACTCCTAGTTGATGGTTAATCTGGAGACTCCTAGTTGATGGTTAATCTGGAGACTCCTAGTTGATGGTTGCTCTAATCTGGAGACTCCTAGTTGATGGTTACTCTAATCTGGAGATGCCTAGTTGATGGTTACTCTAATCTGGAGACTCTTAGTTGATGGTTGCTCTAATCTGGAGACTCCTAGTTGATGGTTAATCTGGAGACTCCTAGTTGATGGTTGCTCTAATCTGGAGACTCCTAGTTGATGGTTGCTCTAATCTGGAGACTCCTAGTTGATGGTTACTCTAATCTGGAGACGCCTAGTTGATGGTTACTCTAATCTGGAGACTCTTAGTTGATGGTTGCTCTAATCTGGAGACTCCTAGTTGATGGTTAATCTGGAGACTCCTAGTTGATGGCTGCTCTAATCTGGAGACTCCTAGTTGATGGTTAATCTGGAGACTCTTAGTTGATGGTTGCTCTAATCTGGAGACTCCTAGTTGATGGTTACTCTAATCTGGAGACTCCTAGTTGATGGTTAATCTGGAGACTCTTAGTTGATGGTTGCTCTAATCTGGAGACTCCTAGTTGATGGTTACTCTAATCTGGAGACTCCTAGTTGATGGTTAATCTGGAGACTCCTAGTTGATGGTTAATCTGGAGACTCCGAATTCCATGTTTATGCTTGCAGTCATTCCACTGTACACAAGACTTAAATTCTATATCTCCCAATAGAACAAAGATAACCCATGACTGCCAAAACATCACTAAACCGTTAAAAGCGAGTGGACGAATTGGCTGGTCCGGGTGCAGTGGTGTTTAAAACTCATCAAAACCAGTTACAGATTTCTTTGTTCCTTCTTCACTCCCACTGCTTCACCTGACTAGCCTTAAAATTAAAAAAATAAAAATTAAAAATTAAAAAAACTAGTGGACTAAGATTACACGTATAATGAAAAATGAAATATATCAATAGAAAAAACAATCCTGAGCCTGTCTAGACTTAACAATTAAAACTATATAATATAAAATTGACAGAACCAGCAAGAAAAATGGACAAAACCATAACCAATGAAAAATTTTAATATACCTCTCAGAAACTGACAGATCAAGCAGTCCAAAAGTTAGTAAGAATATGTAAGATTTGAACAGCATAATGAACAAGCTTGATTTAATGCACATAGAGAATGCTGCATCCTATAATTAAAGAATGCATATTCTTTTCAAACACATGTCAGACTTTTATAAAAACTAGTTCTGTAAGAGTCTAACATTCAAGCCTTTTGTTTGTTTGTTTTTTAAGAGAGAGAATCTTGCTCTGTCACCCAGGCTGGAGTACAGTGGAGTGATCATAGCTCACTGCAGCCTCCAACTCCTGGCCTCAAGCAATCCTCCCACATCAGCCTCCTGAGTAGCTCAGAGTACAGGCATGAGCCACCAGTCGACTCTTTTTTTTTTTTTTTTTTTTTTTTTTGAGATGGAGTTTCATTCTTGTTGCCCAGGCTGGAGTGCAATGCACGATCTTGGCTCACTGCAACCTCCGCTTCCCGGGTTCAAGTGATTCTTCCACCTCAGCCCCCCAAGTAGCTGGGATTACAGGCATCGCCATCACGCCCGGCTAATTTTTGTATTTCAGTAGAGACGGTGTTTCACCATGTTGGCCAGGATGGTCTCGAACTCCTGACCTCAGGTGATCTGCCTGCCTCGGCCTCCCAAAGTGCTGGGATTAACAGGCGTGAGCCACTGCGCCTGGCTGACCTTTAATTTTTTTTTATTTTATTTTAATTAATTAATTTACTTATTTTTGAGATGGAGTCTTGCTCTGTTGCCCAGGCTGGAGTGCAGTGACGCGATCTTGGCTCACTGCAACCTCTGTCTCCTGGGTTCAAGCAATTCTCCTACCTCAGCGTCCTGAGTAGCTGGGATTACAGTGCGTGGCCACCAGCCCAGCTATTTTTGCATTTTTAGTAAAGACAGGCTTTCACCATGTTGGCCTGGCTGATCTGGAACTGCTAACCTCAGGTGATCCACCGGCCTCAGCCTCCCAAAGTGCTAGGATTACAGGTGTGAGCTACCATGCTTTGGGATTACAGGCATGAGCTACCACGCCCGGCCATATATATATATATATATTTTTTTTTTTTTTTTTTTTTTGAGACGGAGTTTCAGTCTCCTCACCCAGGCTGGAGTGCGATGGCACGATCTTGGCTCACTGCAACCTCTGCCTCCCAGTTTCAAGCGATTCTCCGGCCTTTCCTGAGTAGCTGGGATGACAGGAGCCCGCCACCATGCCCAGCTGATAATTTGTTTTTTCAGTAGCGACAGGTTTCAGTCTCTAAAGGGGCCACCCTGGTCTCAAACTCCTGACCTCAGGTGATCCACCCACCTCGGCCTCCCAAAATGCTGGGATTACAGGTGTGAGCCACCACGCCTGGCCAACCTTTAATTATTAACTTCTTTAGGGAAAGGGCTGTTTTAATATCCATCTTTTTTTTTTTTTTTTTTTTTGGTCAAGTCTTCCTGTGTGAGTGACACCTACCCATGTTTTATGCATTGCCAGTACTCAATACTGAATTACACCAAATCCCTCTCCTTAAAATATCCCTGTTATTTTATTTAGTCAGATCAAGGAAATACATTAAAACAGTGTTCTCAAAGTGTAGTCTAATATGGTAAATACTGAAGTTATAACCCACCTAAAGAAAAGCTCTCTGGGGTACAATTTTTAAGACGGTCAAAGGAATTCTTGAGTCCAAAGAGTCTGCGAGTCGCCGCATTAAATAAATGGAAGTTTCAGTTTCAGGGACTTGATGTCTGCTCAATTGTTTGAAGCACAGGATTTTTAAAAATGACAACCCAGGCTTTTACTGTATATAAAATTAAGTACAAAATAATTATCCTCATAGTATGCCGTTCAGTTTCTAAATTTGGGGTGAAGGCATTTACATGCCATTTCCTGGCGCCTGCAGACCCCAGCGTCGCCCCTTCGGGAGGCACGTGCTTTACCTGTCGCCGTGTCAGGTGCGTCTGTGTGGCTGCCGCGCTGGATGAGTCTGGCTGCAAAGCTGTTCTCATCAAATGAAGTCCCATTTACCACGGGGACATCTTCGAAGGGGTTCACAGACTGGTCAGAAGACACTGTGATATGCTGCACTGCCAGCCACAGAGCCGTGCTGCCCTCGTGGTCTTTGAGTTCTAAATCTAGTCTGAAAAGCAGAAGCAGTGTCAACAGCACATACAATCTTTTTGAGACACTCTATACTGACAACAACCTGGTTCTTTCTCTTTACCCTTTTTCAATGACACATTTTTTTTTAGCTCACTTTAACTTCTTAATATATGCAACACTAAAGATGTTTAAAAAGAATGATTTTTCACTCACAATCCCCCCTCACAACCGCCTTCTCACTTGTGCGTGTCTCCCTACGTACTGTTTGCACTGCAGCAGCTGACTGAACACATATTCATTCCCGGCCATGATGGACACATGTAAAGGAGTCCTGCGGGATCCAAAAGAAGAGGGGTCAGTTCAGGACAGGCCTGTTCAGGATGACTCACGGCAAGACGCAACCAGAATCCCAGGCAGAATCACCACCCGCAAGAAATCCCACATTTCTACAAGGCTTCTAAAACCATGACCCAGTATCAAAACCTGAAAACGGATCTGCTTATATGTGACCATTATTCAGCGGCCAAAATGGACAAGAATCAGCTCAAGGAAGTGATCTCAAATACTCCCCAACTCAATCCCAACCCCTTCCTGAAGGCACAGACAGGATTTTCTTGAGAACAGCAGTTTCTGCCACAGGTGTGCAGATTTTCCCTCATCTCTTCTCCATCAATTCTAAAAGGAAACTCTCCCCCATAATCTTCTATTCTTCTCAAACACACTCAGAGCAGCAACAGGAAAGAACTGATGAAAGCGGCATTTAACCCCTTTCACTGCTTTCATTTAGCACTCGGGAGCCCTGCAGGAGACTGGCACTGCAGAGCCACCACTAACACACACACACACACACCCCCGAGTCAGGGCCCAAGGCTGCACCTACCCACCCACCCCCCCCACCACCCCCCACCCACACAGTGAGTCAGGGCCCAAGGCTGCACCTACCCCGCCCCCCACCTCCCCCCAAAAACACACACTTTGAGTCAGAGCCCAAGGCTGCATCTACTACACACACACACACACACACACACACACACACACACACACACACACACTGCGAGTTTATTGCCGTTGGAGGAAAAAAATGAAAGAATCAACAGCAGGGAAAGGGATGCAATTATTTTAGGAAATAAGGTAATTATCACATGATACTGAGATTTCATGAAGCTACATCTTATTTACGTACTTATCTATCACATAAATACATTCTCCTGTCTGACAACCAAACTTTACAAAAAATCTTTTTTTTGAGAGGTTTTTCAAAGGTATAAAATACTGAGAATGTTCTAATGACAAGCGGGTCCCAACTGTGGTCAGTGATTCAGGTGACTTAACTATCCTTCACAGCCCCTCACACCACTGTCCCAAGACAAGTAGCCTTTTCTCAGATCCTACCACAAGGAATCCTCAACTATTTCTGGAAAGGGGCAAAATGAACACAATAAATATTGTTAAATATGCAAAGGGCCGTGCTATGGACAAAGGTAGCAAGCTGTGCAGATAAAGTGGGAGTGTTTACGAGAAGGTAAAATTGGGTTTAATATAGAGAATTTTCTAACAATTAGAATTTTCTAACAATTAGACCTCAATAGTTCTTCAAACTATCCAAGCAACTCTAAGAAATGCTACAAGGTTTCCTTGGAGGCACTGGACTAGATGACCACTCTGGTTCCTTCAAACATGAGATACAAATTGCTTAAAAGCTCGAAAACTGGCTCACGCCCGTAATCCCAGCACTTTGGGAGACCGAGGTGGGCAGATTGCTTGAGCTCAGGAGTTCGAGGCCAGCCTGGACAACATGGCAAAACCCTGTCTCCACCAAAATACAAAAATCAGCCAAGTGGGGTGGCGTGTGCCTGTAGTCTCACCTACTCAGGAGGCTGAGGTGAGAGGATCACCTGTGCTCAGGAGGTAGAGGCTGCAGTGAGCCAAGATCATACCACTGCGCTCCAGCCTGGGTGACAGAGTGAGATGCTGACACAATTAAAAACAAACAAACAACACACAAAAAAAACCTCGAAGACTTCAGTTACCCAGGATAGAAATGTTTTCCCCAAATGCCTCTGGTTTTAGTAGTGACACTACTACTACACATCGATGTCTGTGACTTTAATGAAAATAAGACTGAATAATGCCAAACTAAAGAACATGAACTCCCCGTATGCCAATTACATGCTACTGTAAGATATCTTCTGAGAACAGTGCTAAGGGCACAGTGTCTGCTCCCCAGCTTACCTCCCCTTGCTGTCCTGCATGTTGGGGTTGGCACCAGCCTGCAGAAGGGCCTCTGCAATCTGCGCCATCTCAGACATCACATCTGCTGAGTGTTTCTTTGAACTGTACAAGGCCACAAGGTGCAGTGGTGTCTCCTGGGCACCCAGTGTAGCAGCGTTGACAAAGGCCCCATTCTTAATGAGGAAAGTGGCAGCAAAGAGATCTCCTTGAAAAGAAATAATAGAAGAAACAGTGTCAGGGCAAAGTATTCTGGCCAGTGCTTCTTCAAGAGGGAGCAGAAAATGACTGCAGACAAAGGAGAGCGATAACTAGATGTGTCTGAAGGAACCTCTTGGGGCATCTGTAAGTGGAAACTCATTGAGATCATGGAGTTACAGACGAATTCAAAAGGCTCTGCTCAATTTTTGGTTACCTGTTACCACTTGTCCTGCCTCCTCACCTCAGTATCCTTTCACTGTTTAAGAATACTAGGCTGGGCCAGGCGCAGTGGCTCATGCCTGTCGTCCCAACACTTTGGGAGGCCGAGGTGGGCGGATCACCTGGGGTCGGGAGTTGGAGACCAGCCTGACCAACAGGGAAAAACCCCGTCTCTACTACAAATACAAAACTAGCCGGGCGTGGTGGTGCACGCCTGTAATCCCAGCTACTTGGGAGGCTGAGGCACGAGATTCGCTTGAACCCAGGGGGTGGAGGTTGCGGTGAGCTGAGACCACATCATTGCACTCCAGCCTGGGGATTAAGAGCAAAACTCCGTCTTAAAAAAAAAAAAAAGAACACTAGGCTTCTACTCTTCAAAGGCCTCCTTCGGTCATCTCTCAGAAGGGTTTCCAGGATCCCTCCCTACACAATTTCTCTCTCTCTTTCTCTTTCTTTCTTATTTCCTGACCACAGCTTGTACCTAACTAAGCAACACCTACCCCCATTCTGCTGTACTTGCATTCACGTTCCTACTCAGAGTAATCCCATGTCTGTTTTATTATTATAAAATTTATTTTCTTTTTAGATTTTTTTTTTTTTCAGACAGAGCCTTGCTCTGTCACCCAGGCTGGAGTGCCGTGGTGCAATCTCAGCTCACTGCAACTTCCGCCTCCGAAATTCAAGCAATTCTCATGTCTCAGCCTCCCAAGCAGCTGGGACTATAGGCATGTGCCACCACACCTGGCTAATTTTTTGTATTTTAGTAGGGACGGGGTTTCACCATGATGTACAGGCTGGTCTCAAACTCCTGAGCTCAGGAAAACCACCTGCCTCGGCCTCCCAAAATGCTGGGATTACAGATGTGAGCCACCGTGCCCGGCCTCTTTTTAGTTTTGTAATCTCATTATATACACATAACTGACTTAATAAGAAGTTTACAATGAAATATTTGAACAGAGTATCTGTACACATTACTATTTACAAAAATTTCACATGGTAAATAACCTTGTTGTGGAAACAAAATTTCTTTCTAAATCCCTTCCATTGACTTACCTCTTGGAGTATTACAGATAAGAGTCTACCTAGGACAATTTACAGATATCAAATTAAGACTGAATAACATCCCAGGTCTTTGGAAGGCCGAGGTGGGAGGATCACTTGAGCCCAAGAGTTCAAGACCAGCCTGGCAACATGGGGAGACCCCATCTCTACAAAAAAAAACTTAGCAAGGAGCGGTGACAACAGCTGTGGTTCCAGCTACTCAGGAGGATGAGGTGGGAGGATCGCTTGAGCCCCAGAGTTCGAGACTGCAGTGGGCTATGACTGTGCCACTGCACTCTAGCCTGGGTGACAGAGAGAGATCCTGACTCAACAAAGGCTGAGTAACTTACAGAAAAACCATTCTTCTTCTTATTTTTTGAGACAGAGTCTCACCCCCGCCACCCAGGCTGGTGCACTGGCACGATCACGGCTCATTGCAGACTCAACTTCTTGGCTCAGAGGATTCTCCTAACTCAGTCTCCTGAATAGCTGAGACTACAGGCACGCATGCCACCATGCCTGGCTTATTTTTTATATTTTTAGTAGAGATGGGGTTTCACCATGTTGCCCAGGCTGGTCTCCAACCCCTGGGCTGAAGGGATCCACCTGTCTCAGCCTCCCAAAGTGCTGGGATTACAGGCATAAGCCACTGTGTCTGGCCAAAATTCATTAATTTTAATAGTTTCATTTACCATCTTTGACTATTTATGCTCTGTAGGAGTGAAAAAAACTACCTTGACATGTTGACAAAAGGCCAAGAATTAAGATGAAAATGTTAATGGTACACATTTGTGAAAATACTTTGTCAGACACTAGTAAAGAGAAATTGACTCTAGATTGGTTCTACAAATACATGGTTAAACTCGGAACTAAGCAATCTGACAAGTGGCCATTTAGTGTTAAAAAATACTTCTGAAAAACCAGTTAAAGTTTACTTGTCAAGTTAACTTGGAGGATGACAAGGATTAAGCAATTAAATTTGTTGTAAGATTAAAAGTTCAGTCTTTCTTGGATTTAGTTATATTTAACATTTAAAACACGCAAACACCATGTATATATAAAATGTATGTTTCTTAAGAAAACAAGGCAAGAATAGCAAAGCATCATAACACACAGAACAGAAACCTGTTACAAAGGCTTGGGGCATCACGCCTTGCTGGGTGAAAGCAATTGCTCTCAGTAGCCTCCAGGTGGCATCAATGAGCTCATATCGGGAAAGTTGGGTTTTGGGGATTTTTTTTTTGTTTTTGAGACAGGGTCTCACTCTGTCACCCAGGCTGAAGTGCAGTGTCATCATCACGGCTCACTGCAGCCTCAACTTCCAGGGCTCAGTTGATCCTCCCAGCTCAGCCTCCTGAGTAGCTGGGACTACAGGTGCACGCCAACATACCCGGCTAATTTTTTTGTGTTTTTGGTAGAGGTGGGTTTTGCTACCATTGCCCAAGCTGGTCTTGAACTCCTGGGCTCAAGCAATCCGCCCACCTCAGCCTCCCAAAGTGTTGGGATTACAGGCGTGAGCCACGGCACCTGGCCTGGAAAGTCTTTCAAGGGTTCAGTTAAACATCTTCCAAATAAAAATCATTTGCAACTTGCAACTTGAAGTCCCCATGTGTGACTCTGATGGGTGATAGCAAGTTAACCCAAGAGCTGGGATTCAGAGGTACTTTCTGCAGATTCCGTCTCCATTTCACCAAGGTCTACAGGATGAATTTCTTGCAAATCACATCCTTCTTCAGCTGGATGATCCCCAGCATGCAGAACAACGTCCTAGAGTTTGATTTGCTGGTCCCATGAGAGTTGACTATACTCCTTAAATGTGTGGGTGACCTTGCGATGAATGCTAGATTGTTGAAGCTGCCTTGGAACTTCTTTAATTTATGGATCTTTCCATAGGATGTGCTTTTGTCTTTGCATCAGGATGCTTCGGTTCCTAATTGTTAGAATTGTGAGTGCAGACTCCTTTGAATCACAACTCGAGACGATGATTTTCTCTCTCTTCCAAAGTTTTCCTTTCATATCTTACGATATCATTTCATCTCCTTCGACTACATATCTACAGTCTGAATATCTAGAATGGGGTTTCAGGAGTGGTAAAGCTCTCTCAGGTCTGTTGCCTGTATTCCTGTGCCCATTTTCATTTGAATATACAGGTTTCATCTGGTTCTCAGTAGGTATGAAATTAGAAAATCATTTGCTTTTGTTTTGGTTTTTGGTTTTTGAGACAGGGTCTCACTCTGTTGGTCAAGCTGGAGTGCAGTGGTACCATCATGGCTCACTGCAACCTCAGCCTCCCAGCCTCAAGAAATCCTCCTGCCTCAGCCTCCCAAGTAGCTAGGGGTACAGGCGCATGCCACCCTGCCTGGCTCATTTGAAAATATTTTTGTAGAGGTGAGGTCTCACTATGTTGCCCAGGCTGGACTCAAACTCCTGGCCTCAAGTGATCCTCCCACCTTGGCCACCCAAAGTGCTGGTATGACAGGCGTGAGCCACTGCGCCCAGGCCGATTGTCTCTTTTTCAACACTTCCCATCTGCTCTATGCTTTCTTCCAAGAGACCATCTTGCTAGAGAATGTGGGCTCTGGCACTGGGGCAGACAAGAGGCCTCAGATGCTGACTCGCTCCTCAGATGCTAGATTGGCCTGTGTCTGATTTTTTTTTTTTTTTTTTTTTTTTGTATTCACACTGTCTTATACAAAACAGAACCTGGGAAATGTTTGAGAAGAAAATGGATTTGACTGGTTAGGGCTATTGGGTTCTACTTTATCAGAAAGGCTCTTATTTGAATGAATCATGACTTCAGGTAACTTAACAATTTTCCAGTAAGTCCCTTCTCTTGAAATATTTTCATTCTTCTGCTCCCGTTTTGGGTGGGGTAAGGGGTGCAGAAGGTTGCAATCTTTCCCAGTATCAAAGCTTAGATTTCTTCACAGTACAGAGGCAGTAAAGCACTGCAGGCAGCAGGTAACATGCATATAGGGGGTTAGGCTAGGTCAGGCTTTTGCTATCCATTTATACATATACGCAGAGGGTCCTACTCTGTAGCATGAACAAACTCCACACGGATTTGGTATAGGAAAAAATATGTAAAGACAACAATATATTAGCAATACAACTAAATATCCTAGAGACGGCCACTTACATTCTGGGAGTAGAAAGAAACTTTAGAATTATTAGGACAAAGGGCCTTAATGAAAAGTCCAAAATATGAGATACTCAGGGGAGAAGGGTTAATGTAGTTTCATTACCTTTAAGCTTAAAATATATTCCAAACTAAGACACAAATACATAGTGGCCGGGCGCAGCGGCTCCTGACTGTAATCCCAGCACTTTGGGAGGCCGAGGCGGGCATTTCACTTGAGGCCAGGGGTTTGAGACCAGCCTGGCCAACATGGCAAACCCAATCGCTACAAAAATAGAAAAATTAGCCAAGCGTAGTGGCATGTGCCTGTAATCCCAGCTACTAGGGAGGCTGAGGCAGGAGAATCGCTTGAACCCGGGAGGCGGAGGTTGCAGTGAGCCGAGATTGCAGCACTGCACTGCAGCCTGGGTGACAGGGCAAGACTGTGTCTTAAAAAAAAAAAAAAGAGGCCGGGCGCAGTGGCTCACGCCTGTAATCCCATCACTTTGGGAGGCCGAGACGGGCGGATCACGAGGTCAGGAGATCGAGACCATCCTGGCTAACACGGTGAAACCCCGTCTCTACTAAAAATACAAAAATTAGCCGGGCATGGTGGCGCGCGCCTGTAGTCCCAGCTACACGGGAGGCTGAGGCAGGAGAATGGCGTGAACCCGGGAGGCGGAGCTTGCAGTGAGTCGAGATTGTGCCACTGCACTTCAGCCTGGGCGACAGAGCGAAACTCCGTCTCAAAAAAAAAAAAAAAAAAAAAAAGAGAGATAAATACACAGTAAAGCTAAGAAAAGATAGGTTAATGAAAAATGTATAATACACCAAACATACAGAAGATAAACTGGGCAATACTGCACAGGTATATGAAAACCTATGAATGACTGGATTCAGATGGATAGCATGATAAAAAAAAATTTTATATCTTAAATCCTTAAGTCCTCTTAGAAGAATTATAGACTTTGGATCAGATTTACTTTATTAATAAGATCCAAATATAAAGTTCTTTTTACTTATAATCATACACATATATATATATATATATATTCACCCCACACAAAGAAGCTATTTAGAAATTACTAGAAATAGAAAATTAATAAAGTTTTACATTAAAAGAAAGCCCAGAGGGTACATAAAGGAAAAGGACAACTGATATCAGAAGAGCAGAACAAAGGGAGGGAACAGAAAATGTCACAATCACCGTTTATAAGGTTTCTGTCAATAAGAAAATGGTTAACACATTTTAGAAAGATTTCAAATCATCAGAAACAGTTAAAATAAAAGCTGGTGCTTAAAAGTTTCAGTTACTTCATCACCTCATTCACTGACACTGCCAGGTAAATGAGGCATGACTATTGACTATTACAATCCGTCCATATAAAAATATTCCTAACAAAAAACTTCACACTAAAAAAATCCATATATAATATTTCTTTCAATGCAGCTTCTTGATGGTTTTATTCAGCCAGTAACCTTCATTATTCAATTAATACAAACCATATTTCATGCTGCTCCAGTTGGTGGCATCATTTTCAAATTTACTAAAAATAACAGGAACAATCTACTGAAGAAACTCATCGGCCAGGCGCAGTGGCTCACGTCTTTAATCCCAGCACTCTGGGAGGCTGAGGCGGGCGGATCACCTAAGGTTGGGAGTTCAAGACCAGCCTGACCAACATGGAGAAACCCAGTCTCTACTAAAAATACAAAATTAGCCGGGCGTGGTGGCAGGTGCCTGTAATCCCAGCTACTCAGGAGGCTGAGGCAGGAGAATCGCTTGAACCTGGGAGGCAGAGGTTGCAGTGAGCCGAGACCGAGCCATTGCACTCCAGCCTGGGTGACAGGAGCGAAACTCCGTCTCAACAACAACAACAAAAAAAAAAAAAAAAAGAAAGAAAGAAAGAAAAAAGAAACCCATCAACTGATGTTGGTTATTAAGGTAAAAAAGTTCAGGAAGAACTGTTTTTATAAAGTGAAGACTCATCTTCTTGCTCAGATCAGGCTAATCCAAGGAGATGGCATCCCTCTGGCCAAACATGTGCCCCCTGTGGACTCCCCCAAGACACTGCCTGCCTGTTCCACTCTTTAGATAAAATGACTGGTATACTTGGTTATTAGGATGATCACTGACTATTTTGTTGACAGATTCTAATGTGTGCTCAGACTAAACCAAAATCTCATATATTAAAGACTTTCACTCTTTAACAGTTAAAGTGAAAAAAACTCCTACAGGAACTGGACCTGGTTATGGCATTTCCAACGCAGGGGCAAGCGATGAATGGCAGGGTTGACCCCACCATTCCCCTGGTAATCACTGCTGGGTGTACTACTAACATTGCCTCGCATTCTCTGAACAAACCAATAAAGCAAAAGTAATTCCCACTTTATGGATAAGGAAGACGTAGAATGTGACTTGTCCAAGGCCACAGAGTAAACAGATGAGCTCAGATTCAAACCTTGGTGAATACCAGCTTCATAAAGCCAGTGCTCTGTCTACCGTAATATGCAACACTCTAAAGTTAGCAAAATCAAGTTTATTATACCCACGCTGTAATCCACATACTTGCAAGCAATTAATAAACTCAGAGTGGAAGGTTAAATCATCTGAAAATAAACATCAAAAATGTATCACTAATTCTTGGCAATTCTTGTATCTAAGCAATCACCAAAATATTTAATAACTCAAAGATGATTTATCATCAAACATAAGAATTAACTCCCTGGGAGGAAAGAAACAAAATTCTCAGATTTTTTTTTTTTAGTAACAGGGTATCTGTTTCCAAAATAAACATCTCAGACACGAAACAGTGTGGGAAAGAATCATTCCCTACGTGGTGGAGATTTCCCCACTGAATCACACTCAGTGCTAAGCACCCGCTGGCTTTGCACAGCACATAACGGTGCTTGAGGAAGATGCATCTGCTCTTGACACTGACATACTCGAAGGATTTCCTACCCAGTGATGAGCAAAATTTTCCTCTCTACCAGCCAGCAAGCTCAGCACTCCAGCACATGGCTTATAAGGATACTTGTATTAAAACCTTGGCCCAAAAAGGACAAAGCTGGCACAGGACCACATCTTGATGTAACTACATTCCACCAACTAGGAGCAATTTGTGAATGGCAAAAATGTAGCACAGACAATAATAGTATAACAATGCATCATCAAAAGGGGAAAATATAGATGATTAAGATGGAACGAAACAAGTAGATTCTCTCTTTGATGTCTACGTGTAAGTAAAAAAAAGTGGCCATGGCAATGCACTTCAATCAAGTCAACCATCCCTCCACAAAACTAACGCTTTGACACTTTGGAAAGCTTTCATTTCTCACTGGAACTCTACCTCTATACAGATTTCACTCTGTCTAAAATGACCATTGCAAAGCAAAATCAGCCCAGATCCATTTGGGACTCATGAATTAGTAAGACTATGGAAAAAAACAAACAAAAACCTAGTATTTTTTTTTTCCTTTGACAAGTTAATTCATTAAGATTAAAATGTTCTGGGAGGACGCGGTGGCTCACGCCTCTAATCCCAGCACTTTGGGAGGCCAAGGTGGGTGGATCACCAGGTCAGGAGATCGAGACCATCCTGGCTAACACGGTGACACCCCGTCTCTACTAAAAATACAAAAAATTAGCTGGGCGTGGTGGTGGGCACCTGTAGTCCCAGCTACTGGGGAGGCTGAGGCAGGAGAATGGCATGAACCCAGGAGGCGGAGCTTGCCGTGAGCCAAGATCGCACCACTGCACTCCAGCCTGGGCGACAGAACAAGACTCCGTCTCAAAAAAAAAAAAAGATTTAAATGTTTTGTTCTCAAGTCTATCATTTCTGTATTCTTCCAACTATTAACAATGCATTCAAAATATAGCTACAATTTCAAATAACTCTGCTAGAACAAAATGAAACTCTATCAATTTATCATAATAGAGGCCTAGCCTGTTAAAGTGAAAACCCTGAAGCTAAGAACACGTTTCAAGGTTTATGGTTTTGCTACTATCCTTGTATCTGTGGTAGAATACAAAAGCAAAACCTTCCTAGCACAATTCCTGGAGAAAGCCATCCATTGAACAAGCAAACATATCAAGTGCTTACAAGTAAAAGGTACTTCTTCACACAAGTACCATCTTTGTAGCCTTTCTTTCTGGGGCCCTGTTGGCACGGTGAATGGCCAAACTAACACGGCATAGGCAACAGCTCTTGAGTGCTTCCTCTGACCCAATGATCAAATTCTAGATCATGTAGCCTGTGAGTACAGACTACAGAAGCCTTTGAGAATTTTGGGAACAAGGTCAGAAAGTCTTCAAAAATTACTCGGATAAAAATAAAATTGCCTGCAGGGAAACATACACACTTCTTCCTACCTCTTTGGATTCCTTTGTGTAACAAGCTCCAGCCACTCTTGTCCACCATGTCCACATCAGCTTTGTGACTAACCAGCGTGGTGGCAATACTCTCCAGTCGTCGTGAGAGGGCTAGATCTAATGCCAGATCTCCGTTATGATCCGCTTCATTCAGCTTCCCAGGGAGCTACACAAACAAGTTTGTAAATTAGCGCCCAGTGAGTAGAGAATACGACCTATTTTAATTTCTCCCACCTTGACCCTTAAATATCATCTCTTATACAAATGTCAAATTTAAGTGCTCCAACACTGCTTACTCCCCAAATTCAACTTTATTCACAAACTTCTATCAGGCTTCCTCAGGGTACATGTTTTCAGGGAGTACAGAATTAATGGGGACCACATAGCCAACATAAACAATGTGGGAGACGATTAAAGGCCACCAGGAAAATGTGGACAGAGTGCTGTGGGGCACGAGTGCCAGGCAGAGGCTCAGAGAGTTTTACGGTGAACAGCTAATGTTTTCATGAAAGGCAGTGGCGTTCCTATTTCATTCTTCCCAGCAGTTTAATGTCTCCCCATACACTGGACACCCGGGATAAAACATACTTCGCTCCCATCTGTCAAGAGCCATTACATTTCTTTCAAGGTCATATGGTGGGCAGAATTATCACCCCCCCCAAAGACGGACATGTCCTAATCCCCAGAACCTATAAACATACCACGTTACATGGCAAAAGGCACTTTGAGGATGTGATTAAGGACCTTGTGATGGGGACAGTATCCCAGATTATCCAGGAGGCCCGACCTATCTAACCACAGAGGGCCCGACCCATCTAACCACAGAGGGCCCGACCCGTCTAACCACAGAGGGCCCGATCTATCTAACCACAGAGGGCCCGATCTATCTAACCACAGAGGGCCCGATCTATCTAACCACACAAGTCCTTCAAAGTGAAAAAGGGAACCAGAAGAGTAAGTCAGAGAGATGTGACATGAGAAGCACCTGACCCACCACTGCTGGCTTTTAAGACAAAAGCCGGGGGCTATGAGCTAAGGAATGTGTGGAGGGCTCTAGAAGGTGGGAATGGCCCTCGGCTGACAGCCAGCAAGAAAATGGGGACCTCGATCCTGTAAGTGCAAGAATCTGAATTCTGCCAAAGATCCAAATAAGCAGGAAATGGATTCTCCTCTTGAGTCTCTGGAAAGAAGCACAGCCTGCCGACATCCTGATTTTGGGCCAGTGATTCCTGTCCTAGACTTCCAACCTACAAAACTGTAAGGCAATACATTTGTGTTGTTTTAAGCCATTAAGTTTATGGTAATTTATTATAGCAGCAAAAGTAAACTAACACAGATTTTGGCACCTAAAAGTTAAGAAGCGTTTAAAAAAAAAAAAAAACTACCTAAAAGCATTTAAGAGGTTTTTAAATTGGGCAATGGGCTAAGGCTGGAAGAATTTTGAGAAACATGTTAGAAAAAGCTCAGATTGCCTTGAACAAACTATTTAGTAGAAATCCGTACGTTAAAGACTGTGCCAGTCATGGCTCGGAAGGAAGTGAGAAGTACCACGGAGAAAGACAAGTGCATTAGAGTTTCGGGAAATGAAGAATGGAAAAGGCAGCTACAGTACCTGGGAATCCATTTCAATCAGATACAGGAAGACCACGTCTTCTCTCTCCACTTTGATGGCTTTATGTAGCGGGTACTCTGTCTTGGATTTGATCATTTTGTATAACAACTGAGCGCTCATGCTGCTGAAATCCTCCTTCCTCAGGTCGTCCTGAGAATTCACAACACAGTGAAAAGCAGAACAGACACAAGGCAATGAATCCAACCACCATTTAGCAAGCCTCTCAAATGCATCAGTCAGGCCCTTCTTTAAGGGCTTAACCTTTCCCAACTCATTTATTTCTCCCCAAAACCCAATGAAGTAAGTACTTGAACATCCCCATTTTACAGAAGAAAATATTATGGCATAAAGAGATTAGATAACTTGCTCAAGTTCAGACAGTCCTTAAATGGCTGGGGAACCAGAAGGCTGACGTTCCGAGCCTCACTCTCCTCCAGCATTACTGTGCCTCCCAGTGAGGTGGCAAAACACCAGCCATGCATACCTCTAACAGGAATGCGCCCCAAGGGAGCCTCACATGAGAGCAGGGAGTCCTCCTCCCACCCCCTGAAAGATGGCAGTTACAAAATCAATTCCAACTTCCACAAACAAGTCACTCCACTGAGTCGCAGCTGGTCCCTATTATTGCAGATCTCTATATTTCTGCCTATTTTAAAAGAAAGGTTACCAATCCTGTTTCAATGCCTTAAAATCCAGTTCTTTAGCCGCCTTTTCTGAAACTCTAAGGCTTTTCCCACAGTGTTGTTGAATACCAAACAATTCGCAGAAACTAATTTGCAAAAGGTAGCACCAGCCCTAATATTCTAAAACTGCAAACAACAACAACAAAATGTAAACACTGGCCGGGCGCAGTGGCTCACGCCTGTACTCCCAGCACTTTGGGAGGCCGAGGTGGGCGGATCGATCACCTGAGGTTGGGAGTTTGAGACCAGCCTGACCAACGTGGAGAAACCCCCGTCTCTACTAAAAATACAAAATTAGCCAGGCGTGGTGCTGCATGCCGGTAATCCCAGCTACTCAGGAGGCCAAGGCAGGAGAATCGCTTGAACCTGGGAGGCGGAGGTTGCAGGGAGCTGAGACCGTGCCATTGCACTCCAGCCTGGGCAACAAGAGCGAAACTCAGTCTCAAAAAAAAAAAAATGTAAACACTGTTCTTTATGATGAAACAACCTAAGAAAGGGAAATCTAAACTGAAAGATGCTCTCCGCCTGATTAGGAGAGCAAGGGCAAGCTCTGAAACTGTGCTGCTGAAGCTGCAGGGCCTGCTGGCCGTGGAGCCACACCCTACTCCTGCAGCTCAGCAGCAGCTTCCACAGATGGAGGGTGAAGGCAGGTGATGCTTCCAAGCCTGTTTCTGGACCTCAGCTATCTTTTTTGGGGGGGCGGGAGACGGAGTCTCGCTCTGTCACCCAGGCTGGAGTGCAGTGGCGCGATCTCAGTTCACCGCAACCTCCGCCTCCCGGGTTTACGTGATTCTCCTGCCACAGTCTCCTGAGTAGCTGGGACTACAGGCACGCACCACTGAGCCCAGCTAATTTTTGTATTTTTAGTAGAGATGGGGTTTCACCATGTTGGCCAGGCTGGTCTCGAACTCCTGACCTCAAGTGGTCTGCCCGCCTGGGCCTCCCAAAGTGCTGGAATTGCAGGCGTGAGCCACCGCGCCTGGCCAGACCTGAGCTATCTTTTGTCCTTTGGCTCCGAAATCACAGAACTACCAGAATTTGAGTTGAAAAGAGTCTCATAGATCATCTAATCAAACTATTTATTCTTCAATTGTGTAACAAGAGAAAACCAGGTGCCAGAGAGGTCACTTTCCATGGAACTACGTCCCCAGCGGCGGTCTCCTGACTGCCAGCTAGAGTGCTTTGTTGACACCCTCAACCTCACTCACCCAATGACTTGCAATAATTTCTGCACAGTAGTTCATCAGTGTGCTGGCATTCAGCTCCTCTGCCGTCTGGTAGAAGCGAATACAGTTCCTGACATTCACTAGAGACATAACACCCTTCTCACATCTGTAAGAGAGTATTCATCATGAGGAGTATTACTGGACAAATAATTCACAAACGAACAAACCAAAGCGATCATCTTTGTACTGGCTGGCTATGTCCTATTAATAACACTATGGGATAAGGTTAAGCAAAGGGTTATGAATAAATTACAGTTGGTCTCCCATATTTAAAAAGTACTAGAATTTCATTATAATATTTCATTGCTCCATTCTGGTCAGAATCAAAATAACATGCAAATAAACTGATTAAGCATAATACCCCAACTGCCTTAACAGCACACATACGACACCCGCTGATCACACAGACAGGTAATTGTCGAATCAAGCACAAAATGGATCAACCTCTGTCCTTCAAAGAAAATTTAACTGTGTGGAACACCACTTTAGTTCCCACAACTGCATGATGCAAACAGTGTGTCTTAGAAATAGTTTCAAATACGAGGCTCTATGCTCAATAATTAACACCTCCTTAAAAGCTCTCCCGGCTGGGTGCAGTGGCTCACGCCTGTAATCCCAGCGCTTTGGGAGGCCGAGGTGGGTGGATCACCTGAGGTCGGGAGTTCGAGACCAGCCTGACCAACATGGAGGAACCCCATCTCTACTAAAAATACAAAATTAGCCGGCTGTGGTGGCGCATGCCTGTAATCCAAGCTACTCGGGAGGCTGAGGCAGGAGAATCGCTTGAACCCAGGAGGCGGAGGTTGCAGTGAGCTGAGATCGTGCCATTGCACTCCGGCCTGGGCGACAAAGGCAAAACTCTGTCGCAAAAAAAAAAAAAAAAAAAAAAAAGCTCTCCTATAAGATGAATGTGTATGATATGTGAATTATAACTCAATAAAGCTGTATTTTAAAAGCCCCACCTAGGATCTACTGAGGTCAGGAGCTCGAGACCAGCCTTACCAACAAGGTGAAACCCTGTCTCTACTAAAAATACAAAAATTAGCCGGGCATGGTGGCAGGCGCCTGTAGTCCCAGCTACTCAGGAGGCTGAGACAGGAGAATTGCTTGAACCCAGGAGGCGGAGATTGCAGTGAGCCGAGATTACGCCACTGCACTCCAGCCTGGGCAGCGGAGTGAGACTCCATCAACAACAACAACAAAAAAAATAAAAAGAAAAAAAGAAAAAAGAAAAAACTCACCTAAAATATCTATAATGTTTTGAAAAAAACAGCCAAATCAGCCAGGTGTGGTGGCTCACACCTATAATCCTAGCTCTTTCAGAAGCCAAGGCGGGCAGATTGCCTGAGCTCAGGAGGTCGTGACCAGCCTGGGCAACATAGCGAAACCCCGTCTTTACTACAAATACAAAAACAAATTAGCTGGGCTGCCTGTAGTCCCAGATACTGGGGAGGCTGAGGCACAAGAATCACGTGAACCCGGGAGGCAGAGGTTGCAGTGAGCTGAGACGGTGCCACTGCACTCAAGCCTGGGTGACAGAGCAAGACTCGTCTCAAAAAAAAAAAAAAATTAGAAAAAATAGCCAAATCATAGTACACCCCCCACACCAAAAAAATCAGATTTCTACTGTAACAACAAAACCACAGTACACCAAAATAGAGAAAAACTGGCTACAATGGATGTCCTCATAAAGCCGCATAATAATAAAAACAAGACTCTTTCAGAATCATTAATAAGGAAACACGGCCAGGTGCAAAGGCTCACACCTGTAATCCCAGCACTCTGGGAGGCCAAGGCAGGAGGAGTACTTGTGGCCACGAGTTCAAGACCAGCCTGGGCAACACAGCAAGACCCTGTCTCTACCAAAACAATTGAGAAATTAGGCAGGCATGGTAGCATGTGCCTGTAGTCCCAGCTACTCAGGAGGCTGAAGTAAGAGCCCAGGAGTTCAAGGCTGCGGTAAGAGCCCAGGAGTTCAAGGCTGCGGTGAACCGTGATCGCACCACTGTACGCCTGCCTAGATGACAGACAGAGACTCTGTCTCAAAAAAAAAACAAAACAAAAACAAACAAACAAACAAACAAAAAACATCAACTACATCAGAGAAGAGAGAGCTGAAGGCAGGCAAATAGGTCTCTGGTAGCAAAAGCAGGACCACATTGTAGTCTGGAAGATATGGCATTGGAAAGACCACACTTCCTCTATGCCAGAATTCCTGGAAGCCTTAGGGAGTCTCCCATGAGACCAGGCCCATGGGGAAAAGGTGGCCAGGGAACAGCCCTTCACCTCCCTCGCCTCCACTGCTCCCTCCAAATCAGGTTCACCTCCAAGGGCAGTCACAGACGACTAGTATGGTTTCACGAGATTTCCTGACATCCACCATTGTTTTCCCTGCCAGCAGCCTCCACCAAAACTCTTTTCTAACCACAAAGGCAGAATGTGGTGGACAGAGCAAGATAAACAATGAGGTAAAAAAGACCTGAGTGGAGACCCATTACATTTTAGGGGCCAAATTACTTGAGCTCTCTGTGCCCCTCTCTCCTCCTCTATAAAATAAAGATGTTACTCTACTTCAGATATTTGAGGAATACTTGTGTGTTTGTCAAGATGGAGGAGAACTAGTTACACTCAGCACAGCTTGAGGTATGTAGTAAATATGCTCGGAAGTTTGAGGTCCCTCTACTAGCCGTTCTCGTCTCTAAAACCTGAAATTCCTTTACTAAGGAAAAATCACAAAAGGAAATCACTTAATTTTAATAATCCACATTAGTGGATTTCAGTACTGTTAACCATAACTAGCTAGCAGATAATTCCCAATCTTAACAGATGGGCTTTAGGTAACAGACGTAGAAAAAGACCATGGGAATGGGTGATGGCAGAAGAAAGAAGGAAGGTCATGAGAAAGACCTGGGCAGAATGCAGAACACACTTTTTTTTTTTTTTTTTTTGAGACGGAGTCTACCTTTGTCGCCAGGCTGGAGTGCAGTGACATGATCTTGGCTCACTGCAACCTCCGCCTCCCAGGTTCAAGCGATTCTCCTGCCTCAGCCTCCAGAATAGCTGGGATTACAGGCATGTGCCGCCACACCCAGCTAATTTTTGTATTTTTTTTTTTAGTAGAGACGGGGTTTCCCCATGTTAGCCAGGATGGTCTCGATCTTCTGACCTCATGACCCGCCCGCCTCAGCCTCCCAAAGTGCTGGGATTACAGGCGTGAGCCACCGCACCCCACCTCACAACACACTTTCAAAACATCACGAAGGAGAGGCTAGGAGCAAGAATAAAATCTTGGAGTCATTTCTCTGTTTAGCAGTAAATGCAGGCACCTGCTTTACACTAAGATCTGTCAAAGCTTTGGGTTTTTTTTGAGACAGAGTGTGCTCTGTCGCCCAGGCTGGAGTGCAGTGGCATGATCTCGGCTCACTGCAACCTCCGCCTCCTGGGTTCAAGTGATTCTCCTGCCTCAGCCTCCAGAGTAGCTGGGATTATAGGCGCCCGCCACCACGACCGGCTAATTTTTGTATTATTAGTAGGGACGGGGTTTCACCATGGCAGACTGGGTGCTTTGTTTTTAATTAACATTACTGACTTGGTGTAAGGAAGCATCTCTCCCAGGGCACTTTAAAAATCATGTTGTTACAATATCTAAGTAAGTTACATTAGTAAGTTAAGTTACAATAATAAACAAGAATGTAAGTTACATACAACAGCATTATATTTATTTCTTTTTTTTTTTTTTTTCCAAGATGAAGTCTTACTTTGTCGCCCAGGCTGGAGTGCAGTGGTACGATCTCGGCTCACTGCAACCTCCGCCTCCCAGGTTCATGCGATTCTCCTGTCTCCTGCCTCTGCCTCCCGTGTAGCTGGGACTAAAAGCGCCTGCCACCACGCCCAGCTAATTTTTTGTATTTTTAGTAGAGATGAGGTTTCACCATGTTAGCCAGGATGGTCTCGATCTCCTGACTTCGGGATCCACCCACCTCGGCCTCCCAAAGTGCTGGGATTACAGGTGTGAGCCATCACACCCAGTCAACAGCATTATATTTCTAAGCCTCAGTTTTCTGTACCATTGGTTTCTCCAAACCTGTAGCACACCACAGCAATGTCTGACAAAGTCACTCTAACCTCAGCCATGAAATCAGAGCATTCCAGCAGAAAAAAACCTCTTTTCAGATAGCTTTCAGAAGCTTTTACCATTTTTACAACTAATATTCAATCTGCCTTCCTAACATCCTAACACCAGGCAGCCTAATACACAGTATGATCTCAGGAAGTAATAACTCACATTTGCAGAGCACTTTACAAAGCACCTTTACAGCATTTGCTGAGAACCTGAAAATTCCACTCTCCTCCTTTTCACTGTCAAATGACATTGCACCAAGGGACTCAAATATGTTTCACGAAAGCAGATCTTTTATTAAAGCTGGCAGACATTTCACTGTCACCAATTCTAGGATCTCCAGAGTGCCATTTGCCATTTGGATAGATTATAAATAGTAACTGACATGATTTACGCAACCAAGGAACACGTAATCTTATTTAGAAATTAAGATTCTCGGTTCCTATATTCTCTTTGAAAATAGCAAGACAGACAGACTTTCACCCGAAGGGAATTTTTTAATTATTATTTTTAACTTTAGAGTACAGAAAGGACACAGAGATACAAAAACGATAAACCTAACTTTTTTTTTTTTTTTTTTTGAGATGGACTTTCACTCATATTGCCCAGGCTGGAGCAACAAGGCTCAATCCAGGCTCACCACAACCTCCACCTCCCAGGTTCAAGCGATTCTCCTGCCTCAGCCTCCTGAGTAGCTGGGATTACAGGTGCCCGCCACCACGCCTGGCTAATTTTTTTGTATTTTTAGTAGAGACTGGGTTTCACCATGTTGGTGACTTTTAAAGTATAACATCAAGCATATATTTAAACGTCCCACAAACTGCTGTATAGTTTTCATATCACTCTTGAGTGGATGTGGGAAAAAAAAATTATTGAAAAGAAAAATGACAGAAGGTAAACAATGATTTAGTTACAAATGACTTTTTTCTTTATATCATTCTGTATCCTCCAAATATCATACACCGAACATGTATTATACTTTTGTAAGGAGAAAAAGATTAACTGTCTTTTTTTAGTATACATTAATTATCTCTTTAAAAAGATTAGCCAGGCACGGTAGGTCACGCCTGTAATCCCAGCACTTTGGGAGGCTGAGGCGGGCGGATCACCTGAGGCTAGGAGTTTGAGACTAACCTGGCCAACATGGCAAAACCCCGTCTCTACTAAAAATACAAAAATTAGCTGGGCGTGGTGGCAGTCGTCTGTAATCCCAGCTACTCAGGAGGCTGAGGCAGGAGAATCGCTTGAATCGGGAGGCGGAGGTTGCAGTGAGCCAAGACTGTGCCATTGCACTCCAGCCAGGGTGACACAGTGAGGCTGTCTTCTAAAAAAAAAAAAAAAAAATTAAGAGTATTTTCTTCAGTGTGCCCTCCGTGGTAGAAAAAAAAAGAAAAGATTTTCCTGATGCTTACTATAAAAACTTCCTTTTCATCAAATCAGTGCTAGCATTCCAAAACCGGCGAGATCCCCACATTACAAAAAGAGCAACGGCTGCTTCACACTGAACCGCACCCGTCGCTAGCACCCTTTCATTATCTCAAGCATGTAATTCCTTCCAAGGACAGCAGGGGGCACTCTGTGACCCTTTAAAAGCCAACCCTTGACTCCACTCCCGGTGTCTTCCACTCCAGCTCTTAAGAAAGCCATGACAGATAATAACTCGATACTCATATCTAACAATACAAAATTAAGCATCTGGTAATGTTGACAGTTATGAAGCCTACTCGGTCAACAAACAACAAACAGTTTAATTAAAGAATCCATTACACAGATTACAATTATCTCAACTACTCCAACCCCAAGACATTTTTACAAAAGCAATTTAATTTACATAAGCAAGTCTGACAAGGTCAACAGGAGAAAGCTCAGGAAGTCTGGAAAACATATAAAGACATAAATCATACTCAATCTAATTAAAATCAGTCTGATTTCACTATCACCAAAACTCCTCACCAAAACAAACAAACAAACAAATGAAAGAAACAGTTAACTGAATGTCCTCAATAATCAAATCAGCTTTGCTAATAGCCTAATGCTGTATGCACCTATAGACTGTGGACCTGCTTTTGTTTTTTATTTATAGGATTTAGATATTAAAATGCACTCAAACCCACATCAATAACAGACAGGAGTAAGCCGTCCACTGATTTCATGTGGGGCACAGTGAGCCCTCCTGGGAAAACACCAGCCCATGACGAAAACAGCAAGCAGCTCTAGGCAGCAAAGTCTCTCTAGGGAAAACACAGCAATAGGTGGAGTGCCTCCTGATGACTGAAACCATCCCTTCACTCACCCAGGAGAAAAGCCATTACTTTATGCACCCAAGGGAATACAAAGATCACTAAATGCTGTAAAAAGCCACTCCATCAGCAAGCTGATTACCAAGAGCCACAGCTCCAATAGAAAGACGCTCCCGGACATCTCGTCTGACATTATTTAGTGAACGTTTTGTTTTCTGTTGTTCTAAAATGCCAACTTGGGAGAGCAACAGAGAAAATGTAATATAAAAACACAGCATGCTATCTCCTTGACAACCTAAAATGCAGTAACTTAAATGAAGTGAGATCTCTGGAACACTGGCTATGACACTTATTTGGACAATATTTTCACATATTCATTTAGGCACTCATTGTTTCCAACAAAGAGACTATGACTAAGGATTTCATTCAACTTGATATATCAGAAAATAGAGTAAAATGTCAAGGGAAACAGAAAGGGAAGGAAAGCTGAAAGTTTGGACATTGGATTATATTATTTCATATTTAATTTTTCAGTTTATACGATTATGTAATTTCAGGTAACAGACCAGTGAAAGAAAAGAGAATAGCAAAAGCTTTAGCAAAATTTAGCTACAAGATAACACAAAGCAAGGGAGGTAACATCTGTCCCCAGCATCGCCTTTAAAGGAACACCTTGCCAAGTTATTTACATTAGCAGAAGAAGCTGTTTTCCCAGAGCTCGGCATAATTAAAGCTCAGCCACCACCATCTGAGGTGCTTGAATATATCTGCTGTGACTTGCCTCTCCCTGAGGAGCTGTAGCTGAAACCGATTTGCTAGTTTCATCAGTTCAGTCAGGAACACATCATCCTCTCTGAACTCCAGCTCATCTGTATAGATCCAGCGAAGCATTGTCATCGTCACCTCAGGATTAGCATCTGGTTAAAGAAAGAGAGAACAACTGAAAAAGCATAGAATGACATGCTTAGACTTTCTCAAGGGATCCCTAAAATTTGAGGCTAATAAAGTAAATGACAGTATACCCAACTTAAAGGAATATTACACAGTCATTAAAAATGGGGACTCGGCCGGGTGCAGTGGCTCACGCCTGTAATCCCAGCACTTTGGGAGGCTGAGGCGGGCAGATCACGAAGTCAGGAGTTCGAGACCAGCCTGACCAACATGCTGAAACCCCATGTCTACTAAAAATACAAAAAAAATTAGCCGGGCCTGGTGGCGTGCACCTGTAATCCCAGCTACTCGGGCTGAGGCAGGAGAATCGCTTGAACCCGGGAGACGGAGGTTGCAGTGAGCAGAGATTGAGCCACTGCACTCCAGCCTGGGTGACAGAGGGAGACTCCGTCTCAAAAAAAAGGTGACTCAGCAGTCTGGGCAACATCTGACTAAACTTTCGCAGTGGGCAGTGAGTGAGGAAATAAACCTACTAAAGATATGTCGAATAAATTGGGGAAAATATTTGAAACATATGACAAAGAATTAACATTATTTTTTTTTTCTTTTTGAGACAGGGTCTCACTACGTCACCCAGGCTGGAATGCAGTGGCACAATCATGCCTCACTGAAGCCTCGAACTCCCTGGGCTCAAGTGGTCCTTACACCTCAGCCTCCCGAGTAGCTGGGACCGCAGGTGCATGCTAGCATACCAGGTTAATTTTTGTATTTTTTGCAGAGACGGTTTCACCATGTTGCCCAGGCTGGTCTCGAAATCCTGGGCTCAAAGAATCCAACTGCCTCGGCCTCCTAAAGCATTAGGATTACAGGCGTGAGCCGCTTCACCCAGCCTGAGTTAACATTCTTTATGATAAAAAGACCTTACAAATAAAAATAAAAAGACGGATACCCAATGGAAAAATGGGCAATGGATACAAATAGGTAATTCACAAAGATAAATAATGGCTAGTAAACCTTACTGATAACCAAATACAAACTGAAATCAGAGTACATTTTTTTATCTCTCAGACTAGCAAAGATTTTTTAAAGAACATAACCTTTCACACAGCAACTACATATGTAGACATTATCCAAAGAAAATAACTGGACAGATAAAGAAAAATGTACTAAGATGCTCAGCACAATATTATTAATGAAGAACTAGAACAAAAATCGTAAGAGTCCAACAATGGAGAACTAATTAAATAAATTACAATATACATACACACTGAACAAATGCAATGAAAACTAGATAGATATATATTCAACATAAGATATTTACTACATAGGCTTTTTGAAAAGTAGGCTAAAAATACTTGTATAAGATCTCATTGGCTGGGTACAGTGGCTCACGCCTGTAATCTCAATGCTTTGGGAGGCCAAGGTGGGCGGATGGCTTGAGCCCAGGAATTCAAGACCAGTGTGAGCAACATGGTGAAACCCTCTGTCTTTACAAAAATTCAAAAATTACACCAAAATCTCAGAAATCACCACTAAAGAACTTAGCCATGTAACCAAACACTGCCTGTTCCCCAAAAACTACAGAAGAAAAAAATTAAACAAAATAAAACCAAAAAATATAAAAATTAGCTGGGCACATGCCATTAGTGGCGGCATGTGTCTGTAGTCCCAGCTACTCAAGGGGCCAATGTGGGAAGAGAAATTGAGCCGGGAGGTTGAGGCAGTACTGAGCCGTGACTGCACCACTGCACTCCAGCATGGGTGGCAGAGCAAGACCCTGTCTCAAAAAGAAAAAGAAAAAAAAATAGGTCTTGCTTTTTGTTAAGATACACCTGTGTGTGTATGCATGCATACATATATATATAATACCTACACACACTACACACTACACACATAGAGAGGCAGACACACATTTTTCTGTGTCTGTCTCTCAAGAGATTGGAAGGATATATACTAAAATATCAACCCAGGTGGAATTTATAACTAATTTTTCTTTTAGCTTAATTTTACTTTTAGCTTTATTTTTATTTAAGGAACATGCATTATTTGTGCAATCTTTTTAAGTTAAAATAAAGACTGTACAGCAACTTGGGGAAATGCTTGGGATGAGAATCATAGTATAAAATATCTAAACTATTATTTCAACCAGAGTTAACTCTTGATTAGTCAGAATAAGAAGAGTGATGGTCAGAGGAATACTTAAAATCATGGTCAACGCAAGTAATTCTCACGGTGTTGTCCTGGGCCAGGAGATTCAGCCTCATCTGATAACTGATTGGAAATCTGATTCTCTGTCCTACCCCAGACCTGCTGAATGAGAAACCAGAGATGGGGCCCAGCACATGTCCTAACAAGTCCTCTATGTGATTCTGATGCTCACTAAGGTTTCAGAAACCGTACTTGATTCTTGATTACCTAGGAAAGGTGCAACAAGGACCAGGAACACCTTATTAACTTCATAATTAGGAATTGGCTCATTAGCTCTGATTACTCTCCTTTCCAACTAGAGTGGGAAGGAGCAGCTTGAAGGGGGCAATGTCAAGTGAGTGGACTTGAAGACCCCGACTTACCTGCAACCAGGTTAATTCACCATCTCCTAAAACAACCAGATATTAAAAGTAAAAAAAAAAGAAAAAGAAAAAGAAAAAGTGAAATACACTAAAATGATAATATTGTAGTTACTATGTTAAAGTTTTTCTTTTTTCTCTCACTGAATAATATAGTAATAGCACCTTTTCTTTTTTTTGAGACAGAGTTTTGCTCTTGTCACCCAGGCTGGAGTGCAGTGGCGCGATCTGAGCTCACTGCAACCTCTGCCTCCCGGGTTCAAGAGATTCTCCTGCCTCAGACTCCCAACGTAGCTGGGATTACATGTGCCTGCTGCCATGCCCAGCTAATTTTTTTGTATTTTTAGTTGAGATGGGGTTTCACCATGTTAGCCAGACTGGTCTTGAACTCCTAACCTCAGGTGATCCACCTGCTTCGGCCTCCCAAAGTGCTGGGATTACAGGCGTGAGCCACCCTGCCCGGCCAGTAGTAGCACTTTTAAAATGTTTTAAAAGAGAAAACATTTTAACACCAGACAGAAAACTAATTAGATTTATTTAAACAACCTAGGTGCTTCAGCTAAGCTGTCTAAGATCACCATAGTAGATCTTGGAAGTAGGCCAAATTTCTAAGCAGGCTTTGTAAATTGGGTTCAATACCTCAGTAGTCATCGTAATGAACAACAAAAAAAATGTAGGCCATGTGATTTGTCCACAGCAACCAAAAATCCCAAAACACATCCTACTAGACTCACATGGCCTGATCTTGAAGACAGCTCGTTCCTATCTGCTGAGAGAATCCCCAGCACCAACACCCTCAAACACCTTCCCTACAGTAGCAGTTTCTTAAATACTATTTGCAAACTTGCCCGGTTAATCTTGACCTGTACAAGTAATAAACAAAAACCTAGATTATCAAAAAACTTTTTTAAACTACTTTCAGTAGGGATTTCCTGGGAGGGCTTGATATTTCAAACAAAATGAGGTTCAAGTGATTTACAAGCTTTCCCACTCCTGCCGTGACTCTTCCCCTCATCTACAAAATACACTGAGAATAAATTCACTTTGTGACTCAGACGAAGCAGCCAGTGGTATAAGGGTAGGCAGAGAACAAGGATCAGGAAGGACAGTGTGTGCTGCAACTGGGTACTTGTGGGTAAATCGTCCACACTGTCTGCTTCCAATCTACTTAAGCAAGTGGTTGTAAAAGTCAGATGACTGCATAAAGCACGAGTTCTCTCTAAAAGGAGTAGACTCAGAAGAGAAAGCAGTTGGCCTCCGAGTCCTGCGTGAGGGAGGTAATCATCTCTCAGAAGGCCCTGCATGCAAGCCAGAAAAATCTCTGACTTCAAGGATGAAAAGTAAAATAACACTGAAACTTCTGACTTCGTTTCACTGCAGGCCAGGATGCATGTAAATACACTTTGGAGACTTTAGGATTTTCTATGTGGCCTAGTTTTTTGTTTTGGTTTGAATTTTAAATAAATGTTTTCCAAGACATCTGAAATGGATGGGAATAAACTGATCTGTATGCAATTAACCATTAAATGAAACATACTGAGTAAACTGACTTTGTTTTTTACTTTATTTATTTAGGGACAGAGCCACTGTTGCCCAGGCTGGAGTACAATGGTGCAATCACAGCTTACTACAGCCTCGACCTCCCAGGCTCAATCAATTCTCCCACCTGAGCCTGCCGAGTAAACGGGACTATAGACACATACCACTGTGCCTGGCTAATTTTTGCATTTTTAGGAGAGAAAGAGTTTCGTCATGTTGCCCAGGCTGGCCTTGAACTCTTGGCCTTAAGCAATTCTCCTGCCTTGGCCTCCCAAAGTGCTGGTATTACAGGCATAAACCACAGCACCTGGCTGACTTTGTTTTTTAAATCCTCTATTTTTAATCTGTAAAAAGCTGAGAAAGGTGTCTTGAATCTCCTATTATGACTCTGGTTTAATTAAATTCTCTGAGTTTCCAACTGTTTTTTTCTTTTTATTTGGGTCAGAGTCTCACTCTGTTACCCAGGCTGCAGTGCAGTGGCACATTCTCGGCTCACTGCAACCTCCATCTCCCAATTCAAGCGATTCTCCTGCCTCAGACTCCCAAGTAGCTGAGACTACAGGAGTGCGTCATCACACCCAGCTAATTTTTGTATTTTTGTAGAGATGAGGTTTCGCCATGTTGGTCAGGCTGGTCTGGAACTCCTGACCTCAGGTGATCTGCCCACTGTGGCCTCCCAAAGTGCTGGGATTACAGGTGTGAGCCACCATGCCCAGCCCTATTGTTTTCTCAATCTACTTCACATAAAATTTTTTGCTTCCCCTATTCCGGACGATGCCGCCAAGGAGGTGGCGGCGCGCTCTGGAGGTCTGAAGCCGCTGCTGGCTGCCACAGGCTAGCGGCTTGATGAATTGGGCAGCCGCCCTAGGCTCAGGGCTGTGAGCGGCTGGGGCCAGGGGTAGGCGGCGGTGCGGCGGGCGGCCAGGCGCCGGGAGGCGTGGCTGGGGTGCCCCGCGGCCAGAAGGCCCCGCCGCCGCCGCTGCTGCTACCCCTGCTGCCCGCGCCTGGCGCCGCCGCCCCCGCCGCCCCGCGGACCCCGGAGCTGCAGTCGGCGGCCGCGGGGCCCAGCGTGAGCCTCTACCTGAGTGAGGATGAGGTGCACCGGCTGATCGGTCTTGATGCAGAACTTTATTATGTGACAAATGACCTTATTATTCACTACGCTCTGTCCTTTAATCTGTTAGTACCCAGTGAGACAAATTTCCTGCACTTCACCTGGCATTCGAAGTCCAAGGTTGAATGTAAGCTGGGATTCCAAGCGGACAATGTTTTGGCAATGGACCTGCCCCAGGGCAACATTTCTGTTCAGGGAGAAGTTCTACGCACTTTATCAGTATTTCGGGTAGAGCTTTCCTGTACTGGCAAAGTAGATTCTGAAGTTATGATACTAATGCAGCTCAACTTGACAGTCAATTCTTCAAAGAATTTTACCGTCTTAAATTTTAAACCAAGGAAAATGTGCACCAAAAATGGCCCTGACACGCAGCTCCAACCACTTCTACGCGTGTTTTATATTAGGGTAGGGTTTCTTGTGCAGTAATATTTCTCGTAGCAATAATATTAGCTGTTTTGCACCTTCATAGTATGAAAAGGGTTGAACTGGATGACAGCATTAGTGCCAGCAGGAGTTCCCAAGGGTTGTCTCAGCCATCCACCCAGACGACTCAGTATCCGAGAGCTGACACACCCAACAATCCAACTCCTATCACCAGCTCCTCAGGTTATCCTACCTTGCGGATAGAGAAGAACGACTTGAGAAGTGTCACTCTTTTGGAGGCCAAAGCCAAGGTGAAGGATATAGCAATATCCAGGGACAGGATAACTCTAATAAAAGATGTACTCCAAGAAGGTACTCTTGGGCATATTTTCCATGGGATTTTAATAGATAAAAAAGATCCAAATAAAGAAAAACAAGCATTGGTCGAAACAAAGATCAAGCTTCTGAAATTCAGGTGACAATGATGCTCACTGAAAGTCGTAAGCTGCAAAGTCTTCATCACAGAAATCTTCTTCCTATTACTCATGGGTGTATACGAGAAAAGCCCATGGTGACACTGCCTTACATGAACTGAGGGAATCTTCACTTGTTTTTACGGCAGTGCAAGTTAGTAGAGGCCAATAATCCACAGGCAATTTCTCAACAAGACCTGGTACACATGGCTATTCAGATTGCCTGTGGAATGAGCTACCTGGCCAGAACGGAAGTCATCCACAAAGACCTGGCTGCTAGGAACTGTATCACTGATGACACACTTCAAGTTAAGATCACAGACAATGCCGTCTCATGGACTATCACTGTCTGGGGGACAATGAAAACAGGCCAGTTTGTTGGATGGCTCTTGAAAGTCTGGTTAATAACGAGTTTTCTAGCACTAGTGATGTGTGGGGCCTTTGGAGTGATGCTGTGGGAACTCATGACTCTGGGCCAGACGCCCTACATGGACACTGACCCCTTCGAGATGGCCGCATACCTGAAAGATGGTTACCGAATAGCCCAGCCAATCAACTGTCCTGATGAACCATTTGCTGTGATGGCCTGTTGCTGGGCCTTAGATCCGGGGGAGAGGCCCAAGTTTCAGCAGCTGGTACAGTGTCTCACAGTTTCATGCAGGCCTGGGGGCCTACGTCTGACTCTTCTCTCGCAATCCCACAGCATCAGGAGAAAGGTGCCTGTCATGGATGCTTTGTATCTAACACCACGCCAACAGAAGCACATTTGTCTTCCAGAACACTGTGCCTCAGCAATGCTTTAGAATCTGAACTTTTTAAGACAGACTTAATAATGTGGCATATTTTCTAGATATCACTTTTATTAGGTTGAACTGAAAGGGTTTTTGTAAATTTTTTGGCCAAAATTTTTTAAAACATAGTTACCTTGGACTAGAGGTACATTGTTACAAAATGAACAGTTTTTAAAATTGTTCAGACACAGATATTTGGAAGTAGCTATCTTAGTGCCAACTGCTTTTTATTTTTTTTACTTCATCAAGGTGATGTAAGTGACTCACCTTTGAAGTTTTTTTTTTTTTTTTTTTTTTTTTTTTGAGACGGAGTCTCGCTGTCGCCCAGGCTGGAGTGCAGTGGCGCGATCTCGGCTCACTGCAGGCTCTGCCCCCGGGGTTCACGCCATTCTCCCGCCTCAGCCTCCTGAGAAGCTGGGACTACAGGTGCGCACCACCACGCCCGACTAATTTTTTGTATTTTTAGTAGAGACGGGGTTTCACTGCGTTAGCCAGGATGGTGAAGTTTTTTTAATGTTATTTTTTATCACTACTCTTGGAAATGGCCTGTCTTCAAGATGCAATACTTTTCTTAGGAAAGGAAAAACAGCATAAAAAGATACCTGGTTTGTCTTGTACAAGAAAAGGCAATATGAGAGGAAGAAAATTTAAAGAAAAGCTAGAGGAAAAAAAATTTTTTTTAATACTTATTAGAAGCAAACTGCCCTTGCATGGAAAACTGTTTGTTTGTTTTTTTTTAGTGAAAAGGAATTCTGCTTTCGTGTTTTTGGGAAAGCAGGAACTGAGTTCATTGCATCTTTAATTTGGTGGAAATTAGCTTTTCTGTGAACCAGAAGTGGTTTGAGGCAGATCTGTAGTAAATAATGGTGATTTTATTTATTTTTACTCTCTGGAAAAGGAGACAATACAATTCCAGAAAGTGGACTCATATTTCTAAGGTTAAGATTCCCGTTTATTGCACCTAGAATAGTGCTATGCACAGAGTGGGTGCTTGAGTTGTCGTTTTTTTTTTTTTTTTAAATAAACTGGTAAATTTTGTGCTTATCTTCAAGGCTGGCTTAAGTATAAACTTGTTTTTTTAAACACTTGAAAAATTAAAGGATTTGTTTTATATTTAAAAAAAAAAACTTTTTAGGCTGGGTGTGGTGGCTCACACCTGTAATCCCAGAACTCTGGGAGGCCGAGGCAGGCGGATCACTTGAGGTCAGGAGTTTGAAACCAGCCTGGCCAATTATGGCAAAACCCCCTCTCTACTAAAATTACAAAAAGTAGCCGAGCGTAGTGGTGCATGCCTGTAATCCCAGCTACTCGGGAGGCTGAGGTAGGAGAATCTCTTGAAGCCGGGAGGCAGAGGTTGCAGTGACCCAAGATCACATCAGTGCACTCTAGCCTGGGGGACAGAGCGAGATTCTGTCTCAAAAAGAAAAGTTTTTGCTTCATAGAATTAAAAAATCTTGGTAGACAGTATCATTTTTATCAATAAATAACATCCTCTTTAGTCAATTTAAGGATGTATCCTTAAATATAACCTCCTGGAAATAAAATTAAACCTCAAACCATATTTCTAAATAATCTCTGGGTCAAAATGAAATAAAAGGACAGAGGTTCTAGTTCTGTTATGGCAGTGGAACAACCCATCCCATTTTAACTGATTATAGCTAAAAATTCTGGACAGAGTACAAAACAACAACGACCTAAAGATTTGGAAAAGTCAACAAAAGCAGCTGAACTGAGAGGGAGGCGAAACTTGAAGCAGCAACTGCACTGGATGAGTTTCCCCGTTTTGTTCCTCTCCTATGGCTTCGGTGTGTGTGTATATATATATTTATATAATTTTTTTTTGAGACAGGGTCTCACTGTCACCCAAGGTGGACTGCAGTGGCGTGATCTCAGTTCACTGCAACCTCTGCCTTGCAGGCTAAGTGATCCTCCCACCTCAACCTTCTAAGTAACTGGGACCACAGGTGAGTGCCACCACACCTGGCTAATTTTTTTGCATTTTTGGAAGAGATGGGGTTTTGCCATGTTGCCCAGGCTGGTCTCAAACTCCTAGGCTCAAGGGATCCGCTTGCCTCAGCCACTCCAAGTGTGGGATTACAGGCGTGAGCCACTGAACTTGGCAAAAATTATTTTAAAATGATAAAAGCAACAATTCCTTAGGAAGTCATAATTATAAATGTAAATGTACATAATAGAGGCTAAAAATTATATGCAGAAAAACTGACAAAAATTAAAAGGAGAACTAGACAATTCTAAAATTATAGATGTTACCACTCTCCTTTAAGGAATTGATAGAACTAGGCTATGCATAGTGGATATCGCCTGTGAATCCAGAGCTTTGGGAGGCCGAGGTGGGAAGATAATTTGAGGCTAAGAGTTTGAGACCAGCCAGGGCAACACAGTGAGACCCTGTCTCTACAAAAAAACATTTTTTTTAATTAGTCAAGTGTGGTGGCATGCGCTTATAGTCCCAGCTACTAAAAAATTCACAGGACGCAGCTAGAAGGAAATTCAAAGCTTTAAATACTTGTATTAGAAAAGATCTAAAATAAATTATCTCAGGTTCCACAACTTTGAGAAACTAGGGAGAAAAAAGGAGAACGGGAGAGCAAAGTAATCCAAAGAAAGAAAAAAAGGACAGAAATCAATAAAATATAGCTGGGCGTGGTGGCGCATGCCTGCAATCCCAGCTACTCAGGAGGCTGAGGCTGCAGAGTTGCTTGAACCTGGGAGGCAGAGGTTGCAGTGAGCTGAGATAGCGCCACTGCACTCCAGCCTGGGCGACACAACGAGACTCCATCTCAAAAAAAAAAAAAAAGAAATCAATAAAATAGAAAACAACCAACAGAGAAAATTAACAAAGCCAAAGCTCATTCTTTGAGAAGATAATAAAAATGCCAAACTTCTATAGACTTATCAAGAAAAAAAGAGTGAGAACATAAATCACCAATACCCAAGAATGAAAAAGGAGTTATTGCTACAGACATTAAAAGGAGAAAACTACAAACAAATTCATAGTAACAAATTCAACAACTTAAATAGACATATTTCTGAAAAACAAAACTTCCCAAACCTGACACAGAAGAAACAAATCTGAATAGACCTATATCTATACAAAATACATATTTTAAAAATTTGTTTTCAAAAAGCTTCCCAAAAAGCAAATTCTGGACTTAGATTACTTCAGTGGTGAATTCTATCAAACATTCAAGAAATAAGCAATAACATCAATCTTAGAAAACATTTTCAGAAAACAGACAATGAAGGATCATATAAGGCCTATATAACCCTAATAGTAAAATCTGATAGAGACATTAAAAAAAATTACATACCAATATCCCTCATGATTACTGTTGTAAAATTTTTAACAAAATATTGGCAAATAGGATCCAACAACATACATAAAAAAGGGTAATATATAATGACCAAACAGGTTTTTACAGCAGGAATGCAATCTTAGTTTAACATCTGTAATTCATCAAAAATTATATAATCATTTCTATAGATGTCAAAGAAAGTGTTTGGCAAAATTCAAAAACCAATTCAGGTAACTTATCTAGAAAACCAGGAATACTCAAATTGATAAAGCGTATCCAAGAAAAACCTACAACTAATCTATACAAAATGATAAAAGATCTCATTGTTTCTCCCTGAGATCAAGAACAAAGGATGCTTGCTTTCAGACAAATGACTTGTATCTAAATTATATACAGAACTGTTAATACTCAATACTCAAAACTCAATACAATGCCACATTTTGAAAAGGCCAAAGATGTGAATACTTTATAAGAAAATATAAAATTGTCAATAACACACAAAGAAGGTTCAGCATTATTATCAGGGGAATGCAAAATAAAACTGCCATGCACTCTGTATCCATTAGAATGGCTAAAATTGTAAACAAAAACCAAAACAACCTGCCTATATCAAGCGTTAGTCAGGATGTGAAGCACCTGGAGCTCTCATATCCACGGCTAATGGGAATGTAAAATGGTACATCCATTTTGCAAGACAGTTTGGTAGTTTCTTAACATTAAACAGTCCCTCCTAGATATTTACTCAAGAGATATAAAAACATGTCTACACAAAGGCCTTACACAACTGAATACAGGTAATTTTCTTGCTAATAAAACCCAGAAAGAACACAAATGTCCATCAACAGGTAAATGCAAAAAAAAAGTGTGGTATTTTCATACAATGGAATACTATTCAATAACAAGGAATGAATAATTAAAACACAAAGCAACATACTAAGGTGTGGGGTGAATGTCAAAATCTATATGCTAAAAGAAGTGAAAGAAGCCAGACAAAAGGGACTCTATGCTCTATGATTGCACTTCTATAAAAGCCTAGAAACTGCAAACTAATCTATAATGACTGAAAGCAGATCAGCATTTAGCTGCAGAAGTGGATGGCAAAAGGGATGGATTGCAAAGAGACATGAGGAAAGCTTTAAGGATGGAAATGTTTTTTGTTAGTTTTTTTTTTTTTTCTTGAGACAGAGTCTCACTCTGTCGTCCAGACGGGAGTGCAATGACGCGATCTCGGCTCACTGCAACCTCTGCCTCCCAGGTTCAAGCAATCTCCTACCTCAGCCTCCCAAGTAGCTGAGATTATAGGCATGTGCCACCATGCTCGGCTAATTTTTTGTATTTTTAGTAGAGATGGGGTTTCGCCATGTTAGCTAGGCTGGTCTCAAACTCCTGACCTCAAGTGATCCACCCAACTTGGCCTCCCAAAGTGCTGGAATTACAGGCGTGAGCCACCACACCCAGCAAGGATAGAAATGTTTATGTTGATTGTGGCAGTGGCTTCACAGGTGTATTCGTATGTCAAAACTTATCCAATTGCACACTTTTAATGTGGGCAGTTTACTGTACTTCCATTACACCTCAATTTGGAGGAAAAAGAAACCAAACTGACAGGCAGCACGGCACTGTGGTTAATGGCACGAATTCTGCAGCCAAACTACCTAGGGTTCAAATCCCGGCTCCAATCCTTGCTAACTGTGTGGAGTTAATACATAATAAAGCACTCAAAACACCACCACCACATAGTAACTGCTATGTAAAAACTTGCTATTATTACAATAGACTATTTAGAAATTGATCACAATGAAAACAGTACCTACCAAAATATTTGCAATGTAGTCAGATTCATACTATAAAAAAAAGTCATAGTCTTAACCTTATTAGAAAATGAGGCCAGGCATGGTGGCTCACACCTGTGATCCCAGCACTTTGGGGGGCCGCAGTGGGTGGATCACCTGAGGTCAGGAGTTCAAGACCGGCATGGCCAACGTGGCAAAACCCCATCTCTACTAAAAATACAAAAATTAGCCAGGCGTGGTGGCGGGCACCTGTAATCCCAGCTACTCAGGAGGCTGAAGCAGGAGAATCACTTGAGCCCAGGAGGTGGAGGTTGCAGTGAGCTGAGATCACACCACTGCACTCCAGCCTGGGTGACAGAGTGAGGCTCTGTCTCAAAAAAAAAAAAGAAAATGAGATAAAAGATAGTAATTCAACTCAAAAAGAAAAAATAATTCAAAGGAATTTCAAAGAAAGATTTAATACAGATAAAAAGAAATTATTGAATTGGCTAAATATAAATAAAAATTAAAAGAACAATGAACCTAAACCAAATCTGCAATAAGCCAACACAAACACAAACTTAACATAACCAAAGATTGGTGAGAAAAACCCAAAAGCAGTATGAGGATTAAGTAAAGAATATAACCGCAGATAAAATAGATTATTTTGAGCTCTGAGAGAATCTTTGGGCATGGGACTCAGCTGCTGGCAGGAGGCCACAAGGCTGTTTGAGTGTCCTCATGACATGGCCGCTAACGTTCCCCCAAAATGAGCAATCCAAAAGAGAGAGCTAGGAAGAAGCCACAGTGCCTTCGATGAAGCCATCTCTCAAGTCACATGCTGCCACTTCTACCACACTCCATTCATTAGAGGTGAATCAGCCTATACTGAAGAGGAGAATTTGAATCCACCTTTGCAGGGAGAAATAGCAAAGAATTTGTGAGCATATTCTTTTTTACTCCTTTTTGTGAGCATATTCTAAACTTCCCGTGGATGTCATCGAAGGAACACAGTATGATTTAATACTGAAACTGAACAGCCTTAACCTAGTAGTTCACACAGTAGCCAACAGATGTTGAATATTGCTGTGCTTCTCTTAAAAATTTAAATAGCACACAGCTCCCCGAGTACACAGTTTGGGAAACTATGCCCTTTCCACTGCAGAGTGCAAGCTTTCCAGATGGTGCTTCAGGGGATAGCTTTCCCAACCAGAGTGAAAAGGAATAAAGGAGGATGTTTTCTGCTGTTTGGAATGGCTTGACACTATCCAGGACACATTCCAGGAGAGCTGAATGACTCATACCCTGAGCCCTTATGCCAAGGAACTGTAAGATCTTTGCTTGAGAAAGTATGCAACAAACTCTAGCTTCAAAACAGCCATTCTAATCCATTGGAACCTCTCATCGTGTCAGCTGCTACTGGTAAAGTGCTACAGAGAGGCCATAAACAGATCATTTTGCTAGAAGCAAATTGCTTTACTTCACCAAGAAGTAAATATAATACTTTCCTTGTGGACTCAGATTTGTTATGCTTTGCTGAGCTAACAGTCATATTCTTTCTCTTCCCACTTGGTCAATCAGTATCTTTATAAACTTTTATCTTTTATTCTTTTTTATTAGGGTTTAACAGACAAAAATTATATAGAGTTAATGTATGACATGTTTTGATATATGTATGCACTATGAAATGGTTATAAGCTAATTAACATATCACTTCATATATTTAAAGATACCTTAGTAAGAAATAAAAAAGCAAATTTCTACTTTGTTTACATTTTCAGATACTTTCATACTTTGAGAAAAGCTGCAGAGCATCCCCATATGCCCTTTACTCATCTTCCCCTATTATTAATACAGCTTATATAACCATAGTACAATGATCAAAATTAGGTAACTACGTAATACATACAATACCAATACCATTAACTAATTATAGGCCCTATTTTGCCAATTTTACCAGTAATACCCTTTTTATGGCCAGAATCCAACTGAGGATTCTACACTGCATTCAGTGTTAGTCTCACCCAATCTGTAATACTTCCTAAACCATTCTTGTTTTTCATAACCTTGACATGTTTGAGAAACACTCTGGCTGATTATTTTGAGAAATGTCCCTCAATTTGGGTCTGATGTTTTCTCATGAGTAGATTGAGGTTATGCATTAATGGCAAAAATCCTATACAAGAGCCAGGCAGAGTGGCTCATGCCTGAAATTCCAACACTTTGGGTAGCCAAGGCAGGAGGATCATCTGAGCCCAGGAGTTTGAGACCAGCCTTGGCAACACAGCAAGAGCCCATCTCTATTAAACAATTAGCCAGGGATGGTGGTGAACACCTGTACTCCCAGCTACTTGAGAGGCTGAGGTGGGAGGATCTCTTGAGCCCAGGAGTTCAAGGCTTCAGTGAGCCGCGATAGTGTCACTGCATTCCAGCCTGGGCGACACAGTGAGACCCTATCTCAAAAACAAAAAAAGAATCCTACAGAAGTGATTGTGCCTTCATCAGTGGATCATATCAGGTACAAACATTTCACTTTTTTGAACAAGGTATGATTCATATATCCAAACACCTTTAAAGTGTATATAATGCCTGTTGTATTTCATCAACATATGCTAAAATTCTCATAATCAAGGCTGTGTGCAGTGCCTCACACCTGTAATCCCAACAGGCCTTTGGGAGACCAAGGCAGGAGGATTCCTTGAGTCCAGGAGTTCAAGACCAGCCTGGGCAACATGGCAAAATCTCATGTCTATAAAAAATGAGACAGGCATGGTAGCACACACCTGTGGTCCCAGATACTCAGGAGGCTGAGGTGGGAGGATCACCTGAGGCCAGGAGGTCAAGGCTGCAGTGAGCCGTGATTGCACCATGGCACTCTAGCCTGGGTGACAGAGTGAAATCCTGTTTAAAAAAAAAAAAAAAAGAAAGAAAGAAATATCAATTAGACAAGAACATCAAAAAGAAAAATGTGGAGTTTTTCTTACATTCTAAGATGTAAGTTTATGCAAGCAAGAATTTAATTTTGTACACTTTGTATCCCTAACACCTTGAAAAGCGCTTACCACTCAATGTTTTTTATATGAATGGATTAATGTTGAAAAAACAAAACACCAATAAATTCATTAAATGATTTTATCAAGCCTGTTGGTGTGGAAAACATTTGAGCCTTTAAAATACAGCTTTTATGCTATTTATACACCTGTTTACAAGAACCTATTTCCAATCTTCCTCAAATTGCTGCCATGAAGTGTCAGTGCTTCCAGGTATCACATAACACACAGGCTTCCCAGGCAGTCTCAGCAACTGCAAGCCCAGGTTTAGGCAATGAGCAGGACTGCTGGGCAAAGCACACAATTCAACAGGAACAGGCCCACACATGCCACTACCACCTTGGACCTCTCCCCCATAACACATTTCAAAGATACATTTCATTAAAATGTCATAAAAAGTAAAAATGCCACATGTTCTCCTATCTGCTATCTTCACAGGTGCTTGATCTGTGAAAGCCACAAAAACCATTTACTTTGAAGCGGATCACTCCTGAAAGCAAACCTTATAGTAGAATCAAAACACGCTTATTATTTACAACTGGAGGAGAGTCTAGAGACATTTAAAGACATTAATATTCTATTTTCCTGAACTCGAGAAAACTTCCTGACTCACAGTGATGCAATCTTGTGGCCAGACAGCACTGAATTAAGGCCAGACAGCACTGAATTAAAGCTCTAAACGTTTGGATGTACTAAAAAATTTCAGTGTAAAGCAAAATTTTTTAATTCAATGTTAAAATTGGCTTTTTATTCCTTGATGTAATTTTCTGTGTTGTGTCGTTTTGTTTCAGAGAGCAGCGATGTTTCGTTTTTGCCACTCTCATTCATTTTGGTGGCAGTCGATATTTCACAATTAAAATAAAACTGAGGAACATTAACACTGTCTGAGTGACCTACGACAGTATCCCAGAAGTCAGATAATGAAGAAAAAAAAAAAAGTAGGAATATTTCACAGCTCAGCTGCCTAACTGCTTTCTAGAACTGTCATACCTATTTGTATCGTCACTGGCAAATGTACAAGAATACCACCTTCATGAGCCTCACAGCTACTAGGATCACCAATGTTTGATTATATAGATTTCAAAAGATGGTAGCTTATTCTTAACTTTTTTCTAACAAAGTCGAATATTTTCCATATATTTATTACCTTCTAGTCTTCATAAACATTCTGTTCATATAATCAAGATCCTATCACACATTTTGTGAAGAACACTACATGATCTTATAAGGTCTTCATAATTCTGTTATATATGAGGTCAAAGATACATGGTTTCAAAACACTATGCTTTAAAAAAAAAAAAAGCTATCCCTCGAGATTTCGATCACGTGGACTGGTACCCTCCCAGTAAAAAACTATTTCCCAGGCAAATGTTTTTAGTTACTGGCATGCAGGCATCTGCACATGTGTAGGTGTGTATGTGCATTTGTATCTACAACTTTTAGTTATGGACCTCAAGTTAAATCCTAGAAATTATCATAAAGAGACAGAGTTCGCTCACAGTTGGGAAACACTGATATATGTTCCCCTTAATCCATGAGATAAATGCCTACTTAGCCTTTACAACACTACTCAGGTATTAGCCACCTCTGAAACCTTCCTTTATCACCCCAACTTAGTCTGTTCTCAACCTTATATATAAGCTAACTACATTTCTGTATTTACAGCCCTGGTCTGAAATGATTTGTGAATGGCCTGTTTCCTCCAGCAGAGTACGGGCTCCGTATGGCAGGGACTGTGTTATAATCATCTCAGTGTTCCTGGCACTGCGCATGGAAAACAGTACCTTCTCAACTGACAAACCTTCTGAACAAAGATATAATTCACACAATCACTTCGGCAAGTCCAGTCATAAGCAGCATAACTATGTTTGGTCAACAACAGACTGCAGATACGATGATGGTCCCGTAAAATTATAATATTGTACTTTTACTGAACTTTTCTATGTTTAGATATACAGATACTTACCACTGTGTTACTGCTGCCTATGGCATTCAGCACAGTAACATGCTGTACATGCTGTACAGTTACACAGAACATGCTGTACAGGGTTGTAGCCTAGAAGCAACATACTATACCATATAGCCTAGGTGTGTAGTAGGCTATACCATGTAGATTTGTGTAACTATACTCTATGATGCTCCCACAACAAAACCACGTAATGACACATTCTCAGAACACATCCCTGTTATTCTCCTCACCATATAATTCTGATGAATATTAATACTAGAATTAAATTAAAATTTTGCTCTTTGCCCCTTTTTTTCCAATAGCAGTCAGGCAAGTACTAAATGAAAATGCAACCTTCAGGTCAACTTTTGAAAATGACTGTTTTCAAGTCTACTTGCCACCCTATTTGCTTCAATCCTACACAAAAAAATGTGACATAAAACAAGTAACATTAAATAGGCCAATGTAGCTATTAATTTTTTCTTTTTTTTTTTTTGAGACAGGGTCTTGTTCTGTTGCCCAGGCTGGAATGCAGTGAATGCAGTGGTGACATCATAGCTCACTGTGGCCTCAAACTCTTGGCTCAAGAAATCCATCCACCTCAGATTCCCAACAAGCTGGGACTACAAGCACATGCCATCCTGTCCAGCTAATTTTTTCTTTAATTTGCTGCAGAGACAGGGTCTTCCCAGGCTAGTCTTGAATTCCCTGGGCTCAAGTGATCCTCCCACCTTGGCCTCTCAAAGTGCTAGGATTACAGGCATGAGCCACCATACCCGGCCTTAAAATTCTTTTTTTAAAAACAAATTGTATTGTGTATATTTAAGCTATACGACACAATGCTGTGGGATACATATATAGTAAAATGAGCACTATGGTGAAGCAAATTAACATATCCACCATCTCACATAGTAACCCAAACCTATTAAAATTCTGAAGGCTAATGGTCATCTTTTGATGTTAAAGAAAGAATATTGTTATTCTTCAGAGTAACTATTCTGAGTTCAGTTCTGATAAACTAGAAAAAGTACTTTGGCCAGACACGGTGGCTCACACCTGTAATCCCAGCACTTTGGGAGGCTGAGGTGGGTGGACCACCTAAGGTCAGGAGATAAAGACCAGTCTGGCCAACATGGTAAAACCCTGTCTCTACTAAAAATACAAAAATTAGCTGGGTGTGGTGGTGGGTGCCTGTAATCCCAGCTACTCGGGAGGCTGAGGCACGAGAATCACTTGAACCTGGGAGGTGGAGGTTGCAGAGAGCCGAGATCACTATTGCACTCCAGCCTGGGTAACAGAGTGAGACTCTGTCTCAAAAAAAAAAAAAAAGAAAAAAAAAGTCCTTTGGCATCTAGCATGAAGTTTTAAGCAATTTGACAGCAGGACTTTTTATTAGACTTGAGGGAAAATTTTTTTCTGGACATGAATCCTTATTTACAGCATATTTTTTCATGAAATGAGTGTACGGAAAAACACTTACATTTTATAAATCATAAGGACATTGCAGATACTCAAATATTTACGATTTGTTAGCCAGGTATTACCTCCTAAATAGGTAGGTACACAAAGTACCTAAAAGTACAACCTGCTGATTCATTAATTATTTAACTAGTTCATGGTTGCCATCAATTGCTTAATTATTTTACTTTCATTAAATCACAAATATTTCAAAATGAGACACCACAACCTTCTGCCAAGAGCCCTTCCGCTAGCAGTTTTGTGTCCCTGATCACTCAAAGGCTCACCTGACAGGTCCAACTCTTTAGTGGAAGACAAGTTAGCCAGACTCCAGCTGTCACTGCGGGCTGCCAGGACAAACTTGTGAGCACTGATGTGCCTGTCCCCAACCTTTATCTTCAGATCGCTGATGAAGAAAAAGATCCACATATATTAGAAAAATGTCATCATAACTAGGTATAGCTAGGATTCACAGCTGATAAACACATGAGTATTCATCAACATACATCTGCAAAAGAAAAAATTACAGCGAAGAATTATTCCTATATGCTAGCACTGAATTCTGGTGAGTCATCTTTATAGTATGTTGCTAGAAATGTTTTCTATTGATAAATTCTGGCTTTAATTCACATGGCATGCGCTGCTTTCAAATACATCTTCTCATGGGATTCTTACGGTGGTGAACCTACAAGTTAAGTAGGATGATTAATATTCACATAAAAAGTAGAGGATATTTTATATAGACTAAAACAAGCTAAACCATCAGGGAGAGAAAGACAGAAAGGTTAAAGATGGTGATGACAACTCTGAGACTACAGTGCTACTATGCTCCACAGTAACGCTCAAGCAAGGTTAAACAGAAAAACCGTGAACAAACTAACAAGCAGTCATGAACATGAAACCCAGTATCTGGACTCCTGTTCTCACTAGAAACATTCAGTCCTAATATTGACCATTTTTTACTCAACTACTTATAAAAAATGGGGTGAGGAAAAAGCTTTCTTTTCAAAACATGTTTCCATAATTATGACATGCCATTATATGAAAAGATCTTCCCAAATAGATATTTATGTTTAACTCTGAAATGTCAAATACTACTGGAGGAGAGCATCTGGGCAGTTAACAAAAACGTCAAGATGACCCACTAGGCTGACACGAACACATGCCGTATGGCTATGCTGGCAGGAATCCAAAGTCACTGTCATCATCCTGCTTGTAGTTATATGTTTTATTTTCATATTCAACTTTAAAATTATTTACTAGGTTGGAAAGTCTTTGGAAACTAAATACACAAAAACCACTATATGGAAAAAAAGAAAAAGAAAAAAAAATACCATTACATGAATTAACCCATCCATTTAAAAGGAAACCCAAGCCAGGCGTGGGGGCTCACACCTGAAATCTCAGCACTTTGGGAGGCCGAGGTGGGCAGATCACGAGGTTGAGATTGAGACCATCCTGGCTAACATAGTGAAACCCCGTCTCTACTAAAAATACAAAAATTAGCCAAGCATGGTAGCAGGCACCTGTAATCCCAGTTGGTCAGGAGGCTGAGGCAAGAGAATCGCTTGAACCCAGGAGGCAGAGGTTGCAGTGAGCCGAGATCGCGCTACTGCACTCCAGCCTGGGCAACAGAGCAACACTCTGTCTCAAAAAAAAAAGAGGAAACCCAAACAGAATATTGTTTGTATATAATGCTTGACAGAGACACATTCTACGCTACAAGAGTATTGTCTAGAATACACTTAATCATCATTTGAAAGTATCGGCAATTCTAGTTCTATCAAAGACCAAGCTATAACCAATGGATATTAGATCACAAGATTAAGAGAGTATTTATTATTTCAAATTATTACAAACTGCTGTTAACACAGTAGAACATTATTAATGGTCAAAGAAGAAACAGAATACTCTATGCAAAACAGAACATCAAACTGTATCAGCACAACCTGTGACAAAGTGTAAACAATTTAATGAAAACAAGAAGTTACCTACAAAGTACAAATAATTTTTAAATTCTATATATATTTATAAAGTATTACATCCTAATAACTTAAACAGATTTTCAGTCTGTACTGTTTCAACCACGAGTATAACTTTTAGCCACAAAATTACAAAAATGAATGTTTCTAGAAAATTTCTACCACATTCATGAATGTCAGGTCAAAATTCTATCTTTTGTAATCTGACATATCAAAGGGAAATAAAGATAAGGATTTCATCAATAATTTCCAATAATAATTTTTTAAAACACAAATGAAAACCAGAAAATCAAACAAGTCCAGTCCATGAGGATTCTATGTTGAAACAATTAAGGACCTAGTAATTTTTTTAAAAAACTTGATTCCACTCAATTAAAGAGTATTTCCTTTTAAAACATGGAAACCAGAATGTTGTAACTGGAGAGGAGGCAAAGAGTTTCTTGTTAGTTTCTCAGACACTTCAATAGGAAAAACTATAGGTTTGTTTGGTAAAAGAATGAGTACAGTAAATGACTACACATAGCCATCGTTTTTAACTACCTTATGGGACAAAACTGTTCTCCTGAACTTGAAATGTAGGCCAGGCACAGTGGCACACACCTGTAATCCCAGCACTTTGGGAGGCCAGGACTAGGAGTTTGAGACCAGCCTGGGCAACAGAGTGAGACTCTGTCTCTTATTTATTTAAAAAAAAAAAAAAAAAAAAAAAAGGCTACCAGTTTCTTCCACATTTCTCAACTTAAAAAATTTTAAAACCTACACATCAGTCATTCCGGCTACTAAGATGTACATAAAAATACTATTTAAATCTTTCAACAAAATGCATGTTATGGGATAAAGGTATTTTTTCCCCTACGTTGGTAAAAGATGTCTGCTTTAGAAACTGATTCCTCAGTTTCAGTTACCACATCTCGACAGCTTAGTCCCCTATGAAGACTCCATTCCCTATCTGATATTTAACTGTAGATAACATAGAGTTTCAATCTTCTTTAGATAAACAGCAGGTTTTTTTTTTTTCTTTTTTTGAGATGGAGTTCACTCTTGTTGCCCAGGCTGGAGTACAGTGGCACAATCCAGGCTCACCACAACCTCCACCTCCCAGGTTCAAGCGATTCTCCTGCCTCGGCCTGCTGAGTAGCTGGGATTACAGGTGCGCGCCACCACGCTCCGCCTATTTTTGTATTTTTAGTAGAGACAGAGTTTCACCGTGTTGGTCAGGCTAGTCTCGAACTCCTGATCCGCCCAACTCAACCTCTCAAAAAGTGCTGGGATTACAGGTGTGAGCCACCACACCCAGCCTTGTTTTTTTTTTAGACAGGGTCTCACTCCATCCCCCAGGCTGGAGTGCAGTGGCACGACCTCAGCTCACTGCAACCTCCACCTTCGGGTTCAAGCAATTCTCCTGCCTCAGCCTCCTGAGTGGCTGGGATTACAGGCATGTGCCGCTACGCCCAGCTAATTTTTGTAATTTTAGTAGAGACAGAGTTTCGCCATTTGGCCAGGCTGGTGTCAAACTCCTGGCCTCAAGCAATCCACCTGCCTCAGCCTCCCAAAGTGCTGGGATTACAGGAGTGAGCCACCACGCCCGGCCTAGGGCAGGTTTTAGAAGCTGAAGGGAGACTTGTTGGGAGTCCTAAGATCATACCATAACTAGCTAAAAGGTGACAGGAAGAAAACTGCCCAGTCTCATTCCCATTGTCTCCTAGAAGGACTTCAACACAATGAATGCAAAATAAAATTACTAATCAATTGATAAGTAATTGAGAAACTAAATGATGGGCATTCTAATGGGAAAGAGCCTCAAAGAGTAGGAGAGATGTGTCTGTAACAGAAAAACATTAGGCTTCCCTGGGCCAGTAAGAAACAAAGTTTTCACTTGTTCATGGAAGAAGAGGAAAAAAAAGACGATGGATTATATTTCACAAGAAGCTACATCTATTCAATTTATGGAACTATCCTTTACTCAGAATATATACTTCCTTTTTTATGTAATAGATTATTCTTTTATTTAGAAAGGGCTAAGTTGATAGCAGTTTTGAATCCTGAGTTATTTTACTGTTATTTGCATCCTCGAAATTTTGATTTTTTTTTTAAGACAGTCTCACTCAATCACCCAGGCTGGAGTGCAGTGGCACAATCTCAGCTCACTGCAACCTCCACCTCCCAGGTTGAAGCAATTCTTCTGCCTCAACCTCCTGAGTAGCTGGGATTACAGGCGCGTGCCACCACATGTGGCTAATTTTTGTATTTTTAGTACAGACGGGGTTTCCTCATGTTGGTCAGTCTGGTCTCAAACTCCTGACCTCAGGTGATCCACCTGCCTCGGCCTCCCAAAGTGCTGGGATTACAGGTGTGAGCGATCTATTTAAAATGTCATAATTATGTGGAAATTTTACTAAGTCTTATGTAGACTGAGCTTCTATCCCCCTAGTGGCTCAAGTCCTTCCTTCTTATGTACATTCACATCTGTGTTTCTTTGCCACATCCAGCACCCCAATTCAGTCTTTCATCATTGCTGTCCTGGACTATACGCAACATCACAGGTGCTCACCCTGCTCTTTTCTCTTTACAATTTCACCTAGATGACATTAGCATGCCTTTTTTTTTTTTTTTTTTGAGACAGGGTCTCGCCCTGTTGCCCAGGCTGCCGTGCAGTGGCGCAATCTCGGCTCACTGCAACCTCCGCCTATCGAGTTCAAGCGATTCTCCTGCCTCAGCCTCTCGAGTAGCTGGGATTACAGGCGCCCGCCACCACACCTAGCTAATTTTTTTTATTTTTAGTAGAAACGGGGTTTCACCATGTTAGCCAGGCTGGTCTTAAACTCCTGACCTCAGGTGACCCGCCCGCCTTGGCCTCCTAAGTGCTGGGATTACAGGCGTAAGCCACCATGCCTGGCCAACATTAGCATGTTAATCTTTATTTATTTATTTATTTATTTTTTTAAGACAGGGTCTCTCTCTGTCTCCCAGGCTGGAGTGCAGTGGCACAATCTCAGCTCACTGCAACTTCCACCTCCCAGATTCAAGCAATTCTCCTGCCTCAGCTTCCCAAGTAGCTGGGATTACAGGCACCCACCACCACACCCAGCTAATTTTTGTAGTTTTAGTAGAGACAGGGTGCCACCTTGTTGGTCAGGCTGGTCTCAAACTCCTGACCTCAGGTGATCCATCTGCCTCGGCCTCCCAAACTGCTGGGATTACAGGCATGCGCCACTGCGCCCAGGCACATGTTAATCTTCTTAAAACGCCACCCTGATTATGACAGTCCCCAAACTGGAAAACACACAGCTTTACTTCCTAGAAGACCAAGTCCAAACTCCTCACCTGAGCATCCTAATGCAATCTACCCTGCTTTTCCCACCTCTCACTGCTCCTCTACATGGGCAAGTACCCTAAACTGGCCCCCTCCCTGTCATCTAAATCCTCTGTATTTCCTCATCTTTGAGGCTTTTCTCAGTTACTGCCCTTACTTGTAATACCACTGTCTTTACCTATTAAACCCTATCCAGCCTTTAACATCTACCTCAAAACTCACTTAATAACAAAAGCTAACATCCTGTTGCCGCTATAACCAGTGAAAACAATTTAAGTTTTAAAAAGAAAAACGACAGCTAACAACTGAGCGCTTACTATGTGCTATGCAGTGTTCCAAGTGCTGAACATGCATCTATTGATTTGATCCTCACAACAGCCCAAAGGTAAGTAGCAGCAGTAACTTCATTTGATAGATCAGGAACCTGAGGTATGTCATATAGATTGAAGTCACATAGCTAATAAGTCGCCAGCTGAGCTTCTTCTTCTTCTTCTTCTTTTTTTTTTTTTTTTTTTTTTGAGATGGAGTCTCGCTCTGTCGCCCAGGCTGGAGTGTAGTGGCACAATCTCAGCTCACTGCAAGCTCCATCTCCCGGGTTTACGCCATTCTCCTGCCTCAGCCTCCCGAGTAGCTGGGACTACAGGTGCCCACCACCATGCGCGGCGAATTTTTTATATTTTTTTGTAGAGACGGGGTTTCACCATGTTAGCCAGGATGATCTCCTGACCTCGTGATCTGCCCACCTCGGCCTCCCAAAGTGCTGGGATTATAGGCATGAGCCACCGTGCCCAGCCCTGAGCTTCTAACAGAAGCTGTATGACTCCAGAGTTCAACCTCAACCATCATGATGCACTCTCCAACTAGTTCCAAGACTGTTTTGCTTTGATCATCTCAAGAGAAACGGACCTTTGCCCTCTGAATTCCTAGACAGGTAAGTCAATTCCTGCTTGATTAGCAATGCTATCACCATGACTCCCGCACTCTTTGCTGAAGATAAGCAGTGAACGAGAGACACAAATCTTGCCTCGGGCCCGGCACGGTGGCTCACGCTTGTAATCCCAGCACTCTGGGAGGCCGAGGCAGGCGGACCATGAGGTCAGGAGACCAAGACCATCCTGGCTAACATGTTGAAACCCCGTCTCTACTAAAAATATAAAAAATTAGCCGGGCACGGTGGTGGGCACCTGTAGTCCCAGCCACTCGGGAGGCTGAGGCAAGAGAATCACTTGAACCTGGGAAGCAGAGGCTGCAATGAGCCGTGATCTCACCACTGCACTCCAGCCTGGGTAACAGAGCAGGACTCCAACTCAAAAAAAAAAAAAAAAATCTTGCCTCAAGGAGCTTCTATTCTAGGGAATCGATTTGCTAATATCCTCATTAGAGATAAATAAATTTTGGAAGAAAGTGAATGAGAAAAGCTGTAGTGTGGCCCAGGAATAAAGCCAAAGGGCCTTCTGTGTCTAGGAGCTCTCCCACCTGTACTGCTCCTGCTCGTAGAGGTCTGCCACGATGGCCAGCAGACGGCTGATGAAGGACTCGCTGCTGCTCTCCTTGTTTGCCTGCGCAGCCAAGAGAGCGCAGCGCTTCTCTGTCTCCGCCAGCTTCTTCTGCAGCTTGACATACTCCTGCCGCAGAAGCATCAAGTGCTTCTCCAACTTGGCCACCTCCTCTGCAAGGAAAACGAAGAATCAAGTTCACCGTGGCTGCTGGAAAGCAGGTGGCATTCACTAATCCCTCATCCCATAGACAGGAAAGCTCCCAAAGTGACTGGCCACTTGACCGTTCCACTCTTTCTTAGTGATAGTCCTACAGGATCAAGAATGGCTTTGACGGCTGGGTACGGTGGCTCACACCTGTAATCCCAAAACTTTGGGAGGCCAAAGCAGGGGGAATCACTTGAGCCCAGGAGTTTGAGACCATCCTGGGCAACGTACTGTCTCCACGTTTTTAAATATTCATTAAAAAGAAAAAAAAAGAATGGCTTTGTTTCAGGGTGCTGGTCACTGAACCAGGAAGACCATCATGGTTACAGGGATTTCTCCTCTCAGAAGCTCAATATTATACAGTATATGACAATGAAGAGATGTACCTAAAGATGCTGACAGGCACTTGCCCCACAAAATCCTTCACCATAAAGCCAGGAATTCTCCAGGAGAAAAGGCTACCAAAATCACCTAGATTTTTTGAAACCACTAACAGTAACAACAATTTCCTAATTTTCACATGTTCTTCTAAATGCTTTACATAAATTCCCTCATTTAATCTCTCTCTCTTTTTTTGTTTTTTGTTTGTTTGTTTGTTTGTTTGAGACAGAGTCTTGCTCTGTCATGAGGCTGGAGTGCAGTGGTGCGATCTGGGCTCACTGCAACCTCCGCCTCCTGGGTTCAAGCGATTCTCCTGCCTCAGCCTCCTGAGTAGCTGGGACTACAGGCACATGCCACCATGCCCAGCTCATTTTTTGTATTTTTAGTAGAGATGGGGTTTCACCATGTTGGCCAGGATGGTCTCAAACTCCAGACCTTGTGATCCACCCACCTCGGCCTCCCAAAGTGTCGGGAGTACAGGCATGAGCTACCGCGCCCAGCCTCTTTTTTTTTTTAAACAGATGAGGGTCTCACTATGTTGCCCAGGCTAGACTCAAACTCCTGGACTCAACTGTTCCCCCTGCCTCAGCCTCCCACAGCTGGGACCACAGGCACATCCCACTGTGCCCAGCTTCATGTCATCTTCATGACAAGCCTATGAGGTAGGTACTGCTGTATACCAGCCCCATTTTATAGAGGAGGACACTGGGACACAGGGAGGTTACAGATTTCCCCTGAGTTGCAAGGCTGGTGAGAGGACGGGCTGGGATCTGAGCCCAACATTCTTATTCCAGGGTCTGTAATCATATGAACTATGCTCTCCAACCCTGGCACCTATCCTCCTTCAGGTGAGGATCAGGGCAGTCAATAATGGTTCAGATGGAGGCATGCCATCTTCCGCAGGTGCGCTGGGGCAGGTTAAAAGGTTGAGAACCACCGTATTTGATTAACTAAATTCAACAAGCATTTATCAGTGTTCACGAGGCGCTGGGCGCTGCACGATGGTAAGTGCACTCTGACATACCTGTCACTGGAGCCCTGAGTTACTGAGAAAAACAAAGATAAACAATTTTTTTTTTTTTTTTGAGACAGAGTCTCACTCTGTCGCCTGGGCTAGAGTGCAGTGGCACAATCTTGGCTTACTGCAACCTCCGTCTCCTGGGTTCAAGCGATTCTCCTCCTTCAACCTCCCAAGCAGCTGGGATGACAGGTGGGCACCACCACGCCCAGCTAATTTTTGTATTTTTAGTAGAGACAGGGTTTTGCCATGTTGGCCAGGCTGGTCTCAGACTCCTGGCCTCAAGTGATCCACCCACCTTGGCCTCCCAAACTGCTGGCATTGTAGGCATGAGCTACCATGCCCAGCCATAAGTCAAATAACTTTTGTTATAATTTATAATTAAAATAATTACAACAGTCAAATGCAAAATTACAACTCTACATTAGAGAGCTAGAAGGTAAAAACAGCTATGAGAGCCTATAAAGCAAGTTAATGGAAAAGGTCAGGAAAGGCTTCCCTGAGGAAGCCGTCATGAAACTTCTCCTTCACCTGAGCTCTGGAGTCTTGAGAAGGGATGAGATAGGGGGTTTATGCAACCATGCAAACTGGCAGCTTTATCAATCAAGGTCTCTACGGCTCCACACTGCTGCTACAATCATCCTCCGGGCCTTGGTCCCTTCACCCCTCCCTCTTCCACATCACAGACATTCCAAATCTTGACACTGCCCTCAAGCCCATCTCCCATCCAACCTGCCTCATTCCATGCCAACACCCTGAGAAAACTGAGCTACTGCCAATAACTCCCACCATCCCAGCAATGATTCCCATCTCCCCTTTGCTTCCTCAGAAAGGGTATCTCCTTCCTACCCAAGTTTAATCCCCCATGTGCTCCCTAAATCTGATCGCTCTCCTCGATCCTCAGGACCTTTCTTTATCATCAACCACCCCATCTCCGAACTCCAGTCTCTCTTTCACCTGGGTCCTGCTAGTCAGCATACGAGCCAGTTTAAGTCTCTTATCTATTAAAGCATCCCACTTCCACATCACATCTGAAATCCTCAGCCCCGCCATCTCTAGCTACCATACACCACTGTCTCACCTGCCATTCCCTCTTCTGTCCCCACCATCCCCTTGAAACTCCTCTCACCTATGACCCTCTAGTTGCCAAGTCCAATGGACTCCTGCCAGTGGTTCTCCTCCTAGACCTCTGACACCACATTGCACTGTTGTCCATCCCTTCTCTTACTCCAGCAACCACAATACCATCCTCTGATTCTGGTTCTCTGTCTCTTTCACGTGCTTCCCTGCATCCTTTCCCAATCTTTTCTTTTTCTTTTTAAAGAAATAGGGTCTCTGTCACTCAGCCTGGAGCGCAGTGGCACAATCCTAGCTCATCACAGCCTCAAACTCCTGAACTCAAACTCCTGAAACTCCTGAACTCAAGTGATCTTCCCACCTCAGCCTCGAGAGTAGCTAGGACTACAGGTGCTTACCACCATGCCTGGCTACATTTTAAACTTTCTGTAGAGATGGGGTATCACTATGTTGCCAGGCCTGGTCTCAAACTCCTGGGCTCAAGTGATCCTCCTGACAGCCTCCCTAGTACCTGGGACCACAAGTGTGTGCCATCACACCTGGCTATAAATTTTTAAGTTTTTTGGAGAGATGGGCCTTGCTATGTTGCCAGGGCTACGTTGTCTTGCACTCCCAGGCTCAAGCGACCCACCTGCCTCTGCCTCCAGAGTAGCTAGGACCAGAGGTGTCCATACTTGGGAGGCTGAGGCAGGAGGATCCCCTTGAGCCTAGGAGGTTCAGGCTGCAAAGAGCCGAGATTGTGCCACTGTACTCCAGCCTGGACAACAGAGCAAGACCCTGTCTCAAAAAAAAAAAAAAAAAAACAACCAGCCAGGTCTGGTGGCTCATGCCTGTAATCCCAGCACTTTGGGAGGCTGAGGCGGGCAGATCATGAGGTCAGTTCAAGATCAGTCTGGCCAATATGGTGAAACCCCATCTCTACTAAAAATACAAAAATTATCTGGGTGTGGTGGCACACAACTGTAGTCCCAGCCACTCAGGAGGCTGAGGCAGAAGAATCGCTGGAACCCAGGAGGTGAAGGTTGCAGTGAGCCAAGATCGTGCCACTGCACTCCAGCCTGGGTGACAGAGGACAGTCCGTCTCAAAAAACAAACAACAACAACAAAAAACAACCAAAGAAAAAAAATTATGAGTAATAGAGAAGACAGGCAATTAAGCCAACGCAGTAAACCCTGAGAGCACTCTGATAGGGGATACAAATGGAGTGTGGCAGGAGACCTCCTGGTTTAAGCTAGTGTAAAGAAAATGTTCCAGAAAAGTAGTATCTTACTTCAAAAGATTTAAATAAAGCCTGTATTTGTTTGTAGCATACTGGACCCAGAAAATGCAAGAGAAGGTTTCGATCTTTTATTTTCTTGGTCAGATTCTCCTTTTAAGCTTGTATCAGTCAACAGATTTGTCAAACAGACAAAGTACATAAACACAGTATATTTCTCTACGAGAAATACAAATAATTATGAGCCCAAGCCTCGCCCTCTCCTCCAAGAGTTCACTGACAATAGTATCAGCCACTCACCAGATGCTATGCAAGTCAGCTGAAAAGGATGGCTATAGTATATACCACATCTTGCTAGTTCAACCTGGTGGCTACAAAATTATATCCCACTTGCCAAGAGACAGCCCCCAAGTTTCCACAGTGGTAACCTTTTCTTCCATAAGCAACCTGAACCCTCTAACCTTGGTTTCAATCACACCATATTCTAGCCAACCTAAATCTTTTGCTCCTCAAGACCTCCAACCCAGCATGACTATAGCTGGCTGGGGAATTTCCATTTCCATTTCACTTAAACTGTTGATCTGCAAATATTTATGCATTAAGCATTTTGGCAGATTAGGAGGTGCCTCTTTTAAGAGTTAAAAGGGCAATCTAGGCTGGGTGTGGTGTTTCACACCTGTAATCCCAGCACTTTGTGGGTCCCAGGCAGGAGGATCTCTAAAGCCCATGAGTTTGAGACCAGCCTGGGCAACATGGTGAAACCCCGTCTCTACAAAAAAATACAAAAATGAGCCAGGGGTGGTAGTGGGCACCGGTAGTCCCAGCTACTCAGGAGGCTGAGGCAGAAGGCTCGCTTGAGCCTGGTAGGACGTAGAGGTTGTGGTGAGCTGAGATCGCACCACTGACTCCAGCCTGGGTGACAGAGAGAGACCCTGTCTTAAAAAAAAAAAAGAGAGAAAAAGAAAAAGAAAAAAAAATGACTGCAAAGTTGCTGATTCCTCTATCTAAGCCTTCAAATGGAGGAGATCCTGAAAGCTCTGTTTCAGCCATCTTCCCCCTCTCTGCTCTCTAGGAAACCATACACATTTCCTTAAATATCAGTTATACACATAAATTCCAAAATCTACAGCAACAGCCCCAGTCTCTCTACAGAATTCCTGATTCAAATATGTAGCAGCTGCCTGGACAATGACACAAGATATAAACTACCAAGGTAATGAGCAGAGAAGAAGCTAGATAAAAGGAGGGCTTTAGCATGATTTGGGGCTCTTAGTCACAAAATTACAGATGCTCCCCCACCCGGCAGCTTTTGTCGGGGGAAACCCAAAGGATCACTAATGCACTCAGGCAGCTTATGAGCACTTACCAGCGCTACTTCAATTGCCATACCATTTCACAGTATAATGGAGGAGTGCTTATGGCTGAGACATTACCAGCCCGTGGGGAATACTGTCTGCTTACAAACAGCAATGCAAATGTGTCCTTGAAGTGTCACCAAGCTGTACAGTTCTTACAAGAAAAAGTACAACATTATTCTGAGCAAAATGGAGAGAGAATTTACAGTGTGCAGGTTCTAGGGCCAGACTGACTGGGATCAAGCCCAGCCCCACTACTGCCTAGTTTTGATACACCTTAGGCAGGTGACTCATTCTCTTCACCTGCAAGGATGTTGTAAACACTGAAAGTACTAATACATGTAATAACCTTAGAATACAACCTGCTCTGCAGTAGGTGGTCAAAATATATTAGCTATTATTACAATTCTTAGAAAGGCAACCCGGGGTAGTCAGTCCTGTGTTGCAAGATTCTCCCTGCACACTGATAGCCCAGAGCTCGCATTCCAGAGTCTCACTGACTGGGTTTGACCCCAGCTTACCCATTTACTAGCTGTGTGACCTTGGGCAAGTTACTTACTTCCTCTCTGTGCTTCAGTCTTCTCACATGGAAAATGAGACTAATGATACTATCTTAGAGCAGGTGTCCCCGACCTCCAGGCCGTGGACGGGTACTAGTTTGTGGCATGTTAGGAACTGGGCCACACCCAGCAGGAGGTGAGCTGCGGGCGAGTCAGCATGACCACCTGAGCTCCGCCTCCTGTGAGATCAGCAGCAGCATTAGATTCTCACAGGAGCGTGAACCCTCCTGTGAACCGCGCATGCGAGGGATCTAGGTTGCATGCTCCTTATGAGACTCCAGTGCCTGATGATCTGAGGTGGAACAGTTTCATCCTGAAACTACTCCCTTCCCTACCCCATCTATGGACAAACTGTCTTCCACGAAACCAGTCTCTGGTGCCAAAAAGATTGGGGACCACTGTCAGAGAAGTACGTGTAAAGTCATTAGGATAGGTTAAATCACTCGGAACAGTGTCTGGTTTAGTAAGGCTTACCGCTGCTGCTACTCCTCTGCCTACTTATTCTTCATCAAGTGACCAGTTTTCAGCCGTGGTTTTTTCTTTGTCCCCTTCCAACTTTCATTTGAAAAGCAAGCCTAGAAATTTAATTAGCCGGGCATGGTGGCGCATGCCTGTAGTCCCAGAGATGATGCCACTGCATTCCAGCCTGGGTGACAGAGCAAGACTCTGTCTCAAAAAAGGAGAGGAGAGAGGAGAGGAGAGCAAACCTAGAAATTTAAATAATAGATAAAACCTAGAGTTTCACCAAAAAAGCTACGCTAAGTATCAGTGAAGAATGCCAGAAACTTCCAATTTTCTCATATTTCTTTCCAAATAATACCTATCTGTTCTCCATGAGTGCAGTCTATGATCAGACTTTCAATAAGTATTCTTTCTGATAGTTCATCACTCTTGAGTTAACAAAACATGCTTAAGACAAAAAAATCTTCATTCATTACAAATAGCCTAAAATAAAGAGTGCAATGTCTACTGCAAAAAAGTAGTTAATCAGCAAATTACCTCTTCAGAAGTTATATGGCACAGTCAGAAGAGAAACCAAGAATGATTTTTAGAACACTCTTCCTTCTAGGTCAGGAGTTGGCATACTTTCCGTACAGGGCCACATAGCAAATATTTTAGGCTTTGGGAGCCATACAGTCTCTGGGGCACTACTCAACTCTGCCAGTTGGAACACAAAAGTACAAATTAATGAATGTGGCTGTTTCCCTAAAAATACTTTATTTATGAACACTGAAAATGGAATTTCATATAATTTTCACATCATGATACATTGTTTTGATTTTTCTTCAACCAGGTTAAAATATTTAAAATATAGTTAATATTTATAAGTTATTTTTATATGTTACATCTATAACATATAAATAAATTCTTAGCTTAAGGACTGCATAAAAACAAGTCGACAGGTCTCAGGTCAGATTTGGCTGAGAGGCCATACAAGCCCTGTCCCCCTGCTGGTGATTTTAAAGAATTAGAACGTTAAAATGACAGCCAGAGCCAAATGAAAAGGGAAGAAAGCAGTTTATCTATCTGGAACACCTAGAATTCTGTAACCTCTCACTTCTTACCAAACTCTAATCCACAACAGCAGCCACTGCATCTTCAAGATATGCCTGTCTCCAAGCTTACCTCCTCACCCTCAGAAACAGGCTCACAGTAATGCCTCCCACCCCTAGACAAACATCTCTTCTCCACAGTTATGCTCTTGACTGCGCAGTCTATCATACACTTTGCCTTCTCCACCCATTTCTTAAGAGTCCTCTTTGGTCACTACTTCCTGCCTTACCTCCCTAACCTTCTGAAACTTGGCTTCAACCCACATCACTCTACTAAATAGTCACAATGATCAAATCACCCACTTTGATGACCTTTTCCTTATTCTTCAAGCTCCTCAACCTCTCTGTAGCCTCCGACTCTCAACCACCCCATTCTTAAAACTCTTGTTTTGGCTTCCTAACTCTGTACTCTAGCTTTCTTCCTAACCTTGTTACAGACCCTTCACCTCCTATTCTGACTACCCACTTTCTAAAACGGCACAGTGCTGCAAGGTGCAGACCTACATCTGAACTTTTTCTAAATTTTCTTCCCTGAACATGGTCTCATGCATACCCATACTTTACTGTCACTGCTATAAAAATGGACCCAAATCTCTCTTTCCTTCAACAGCTCCTGCTGAAAGAATGACTGACTGCTACTATAAACTCGACAAGTCCAAAATCAAACTTCATATCTTCCTCAAATCAAAGTCTTCTTCCTACTTCATTTCATGTTATCAAAGCTCTAGGTTACCAATGTACGGGCTATGATAATGCATTTTTAATAGTATACCAAACATACAAAATATTTAGAGATAAACTTAACAAAATGTGCAATGCATGCACACTGAAACTATAAAAACACTGCTGACAGAAATGAAAGGCAACCTAAATAAACAGAGAGTTATATACTACGCTCATGGATTGGAAGGCTCAATAGCTCAATATTGTTAAGATGTCAGGTCTCTCCAAATTGGTCTATAGATCCAATACCTTCCCAATAAAAATCCCAGCAAACTGTGTTTGTAGAATTTGAAAGAATGATTCTAATTTTTTTTTCTTAGAAACAGGGTCTCCCTCTGTCACCCAGGCTGGGGTGCAGTGTCCTGATCATAACTCACTGCAGCCTCGAACTCCTAGGCTCAAACAGCTAGAACTACAGGTGAGCACCACCACATCTGGCCAATTTTTTTGTAGAGACAGGGTCTCAGTATGGCGCCCAAGCTGGTCTTGAACTCCTGGCCTCAAGGGATCCTCCCACTTTGGTCTTTTAAACTGCTGGGATTACATGCATGCATAACCACAGACAGCTGATTCTAAAATTTGGGTGGAAATGCAAAGTTCCTAGAATAGCCAAAAAAATTCTGGGCAGGGGAAAGAAAAAGGTTTAGCATTTACCTGACTCAAGGCTGTGTATAAAGCTACAGTAAATAGGACAGCATCAAACTGGCATCAAGATAGATATCCAGAGCAATGGAAAATAACAGAATCCAGGAATAGACTTTGACTTATACAAATGATCTGACAATGGTGTGAAGGCATTTCAATGAGGAAAGAACAATGGGACCAGAACAATTGGAGATCCATATGAAAACGCAAATCCCTATTCCTAGACACCACTACATATAAAAACTAACTCAAAATCACATATCTAAACGTAAGGGTTAAAACTGTAGCCCTTCTAGAGTCAGATGAAGTCCCAGCTACTCAGGAGGCTGGGGAGGAAGGATCACTTGAGCTCAGGAGTTTGAGGCTATAAAGCACTATGATCACATCTGTGAATAGCCACTGCACTCCAGCCTGGGAAACCCCATCTTCCTGTCTCTTTAAAAACAAAAACAAAAAGAAAACAATTTTTAAAAATGAGCTTCAAATCATTGACAGGTAAAATTTTTAAAAATTAAATAAAAATTAAAAAAAAAAAAAACAAAAACTACAGAACTTCCAGACTAAAACATAGCAAAAATCTTAGTGACCTCAGATTAAACAAAGATAAACTGTTAAAAAAAAATTACAGAAGAAACATGGCTAAATTTGACTTTACCAAATTTTAAAAACTGTTCTTGAAAAGTCATAAAAAAATAAAAAGGCAAGCCACAGACTGGGAGAAAATATGTGCAAAACATCCAACAAAAAACGCCTCATTCCCAGCCTGTAATCCCAGCACTTTGGGAGGCCAAGGTGGATGGATCACTTGAGGTCAGGAGTTTGAGACCAGCCTGGCCAACATGGCAAAACCCCGTCTCTACAAAAACACAAAAATTAGCTGGGTGCAGTGGCGTGCGCCTGTAGTCCCAGCTACTAGGGAGGATGAGGCAGGGGAATCACTTGAATCCGGGAGACAGAGGTTGCAGTGAGCTGAGATCATACCACTGCACTCAACCCTGGGCAACAGAACGAGACTCCGTCTTAAAAAAAAAAAAAAAAAAAGACTTGTATACAGATTATATTAAGAACTCTTACAGCTCAATAAGACAACCCGATAAAAAAGAGCAAAAAAACTGGAGAGTTCACCAAACAAGATAAATGTACAGTAAATAAGCACATGAAAAGATGTGCATCATTAGTAATTAAGATGCAAATTGAAATCACAATGAAATACCACTACACACCTACTAGTATGGCTAAAATTAAAAAGTTATGGCAAAGATCTGGAGAACTAGGCCAAGCGCAGTGGTTCACACCTATAATCCCAAAAGTTTGGAAGGCTGAGGCGGGAGAACAGCTTGAAGCTAGGAGTTTGAGAACAGCTGGGCAACAGAGTGAGACCCCCGTCTCCACAAAAAAATTTTAAAAATTAGCCAAGTGTGGTGGTGTGCACCTGCAGTCCTAGCCACTTGAGAGGCTGAGATGGAAGGACTGCTTGAGCCCAGGAGTTCGAGGCTGCAGTGAGCTATGATCATACCACTGCACCCCAGCCTGGGTAACAAAAAACAAACAAACAAAAAAAAAATTGGAGAACTAGAAGCTAGAAGCCTGATACATTGCTAATGGAAATGCAAAATGGCATAACCATTCTGGAAAACAGTTTGATGGTTTCTTATAAAGCTAAACATATACTTGCCTTATGGCCAACAATTCCACTCCCAGTTATTTCCTCAAAATAAACACAAAGAATTCTATTTAAATGTTCAATGAAGCTTTATTCATAACAACTGGAAACAACCGGAATGTCCAGCTGGTAAACAGACACAACTGTCACACATCCATATAATGGAAGAGCACTCAGCAATAAAACAGAAGGGACTGATACCAGACACATGAGGTACAGATGTATCTCAAAAGCAATATGCTACGTGAAAGGAGCCAGGCAAAAAAGACTACATACTGTATGACCCCATATGAAAGTGTAGTTTCATAGTAGGCAAACCAGGATCACTTGAGGTCAGGAGTTCGAGACCAGCCTGGCCAACATGGTGAAACCCTGTCTGTACTAAAAATACAAAAATTAGCCGGACCAGGGTGGCACACACTTGTAATCCCAGCTACTTGGGAGGCTGAGGCAGGAGAATCGCTTGAACCCAGGAGGCAGAGGATGCAGTGAGCTGAGATCAAGCCACTGCACTCCAGCCTGGGCGACAGAGCCAGACTCCATCTCAACAACAACAACAACAACAACAAACCATACTAGGCAAACTATAGCAAGAGAAAGCAAATCAGTGATTGCCAGAAGCCAGGGGAATGGGACTGACTGCAAAGGAGGTCAAGGGAACTTTTTACGGTGATAGAAATCTTCTAGCATGATTGTGCTGGTGGTTATATGACTGTATATATTTGTCAACTGACAGTTTAAATTGGTACATTTTATTGTTTGTCAATTACACCTCAATAAATCTAACAACAAACTCCTTCCTCTGGGATGTACCGTGACATCTTTCTATTCCTTGCTGATCACACCAACATTTCCTTGAGGCCTTAGCATCATTCCTGTTGCCCTTCTCATCCTTCTACTTCTCTATTCTATCCCACACACATCGTTATTAATCTTCCTAAAACACAGCTCACCTAACCAAACAATTTCAGCTGGTTCCCCACTGTCTACAAAAGTACCAGTTTCCTAATGTGGCATTCTGATTCACTGAAGAAGTTTCTTGAGCCCAGAAACCATCTTATTCACTTCACTGGTAGTATCTTGAACCATGTGGCATGCGTGGTCTTTGAGCATTCAGAAACTGCACACAGAGGAATTTCAGACATCTTCTGACTTAATAAACTACACGACTTTACCTACCATGGCAGGCAGAAAAATGACACCCCCATAAGATACTAATATCCTAATCCCTGGAACCTGGGAATGTTACCTTATATGACAACAACAACAACAACTAAGTGTCTCTGCATTGACCAAAACATCATTATGCAGCACGTAACTGTTCATGTATCCTTGTAAGAGGGAGCAGGGGCTGGCCGCGGTGGCTCACGCCTGTAATCCCAGCACTTTGAGAAGCCAAGGTAGGCAGATCACGAGGTCAGGAGATCAAGACCATCCCGGCTAACACGGTGAAACCCCATCTCTACTAAAAATACAAAAATTAGCCAGGTGTGGTGGCAGGCGCCTGTAGTCCCAGCTACTCGGGAGGCTGAGGCAGGAGAATCGCCTGAACCTGGGAGGCGGAGGTTGCAATGAGCCAAGATCGCACCACTGCACTCCAGCCTGGACCACAGAGTGAGACTCCATCTCAAAAAAAAAAAAAAAAAAAAAAAAAAAAAAGGAAGGCACAGAGGGAGTCTGACCCACTCAGAGTAGGTCTTGTGAACACAGAACAGAGAGAAATTTGAAGATGCTGTCCTTGAAGACTGGAATGATGCAGCCAATAGCCAAGGAATGTCAGCAGCCTCTTGCAGGTGGAAGAATCAGGAAAAAGATTTTCTCCTAGAGCCTCCAGAGGGAATAGGGCCCTACTGAGACCTTGATTTGAGCCCAGTGATACTGATTTCAATCAGACTTCTGTCATCCAGAATCATAAGAACACGTTTCTGTTGTTTTAAGCCATCTAGCTTGTGGAAATCTGTTACAGCAGCCACATGAAACTAAAACACCTATACTTACAAACAAAAAATTCTGTATAGTAAAAGATTTTAATGCCCTAGTAACTTTTTGCTAGATTAGTGTCAACATCATTCTATGGAGTAAAAGGAAATGTACACTTTCCTGTAATATTTTGCAATAAGACAGAAAGTGGGAATTAATATTTTTTATGTCTCCTATGGCAGTTAAGTTCTTCACATTCATCATCTCAGATTCTAACTATATTGAAAAAGTAATATACTAACAGTGAAACTCACTTAAGTGAGTTGCCTAAAATCACACAATTAGCAGAAGACAGACTCAAGATTTGTGGTCTTAAGCCAGAACGCATCCCATTAACACCATGATGCCAGATTTCAGCTCCAGTATCAGAACACCAAGATTAGTCATTAATTAATCCAGGAATTAAATGAGCTCCTTCATTTCCTATAGTAAATGCACTCTACTCCCCTCCAGCCACTCCAGTTCTAACCCACACTGTATTCAGTCTTTCTAGATTCACATCACCCTGGCATTTCCTTTCTCTACACTCCTATAGTTCTTCTATTCTAGCCAAAACTTTAGCAATGAATTAGTGTTCTTCATGTAATTCTTTTTTTTTTTTTTTTTTTTTGAGACAAGAGTTTCTCTTGTCGCCCAGACTGGAGTGCAATGGTGTGATCTTGGCTCATGGCAACCTCTGCCTCCCGGGTTCAAGCAATCCTCCTGCCTCAGCCTCCTGAAGCAGCTGAGATTACAGGCGCCTGCCACCATGCCCAGCTAATTTTTTTGTATTCTTAGCAGAGACAGGATTTCGCCATGTTGGCCAGGCTGGTCTTGAACTCCTGACCTGAGGTGATCCCCTGGCCTCGGCCTCCCAAAGTGCTGGGATTACAGGCATAAGCCACCGTGCCCAGTCTCTTCATGTAATTCTTTAATGACTAAATGACTTTATACCTATTCTGCTTTAACTATGTCCATTAGATAAAAGAGAAATGATTGTAAAGGCTGTGATAACATTCTATTTGGAGAACTACAAGAATAATTTTTTGTTCCAGGCTTATATTAGGATCTTCCACAAAAAAATATTTCATTAAAGTGTCAGCTTCCCAGAAAATACTATCTTCCTTGGCATCAGATTAGAAAAGCTCTTCACTGGTGATTAATTACCACCACTACTACTTTTCTTTTTTTTTTTTCTTTTGAAACGGAGTCTCACTCTTGTCGCCCAAGCTGGAGTGCAATGGCGCGATCTCAGCTCACTGCAACCTCCGCTTCCCAGGTTCAAGCAATTCTTCTGCCTCAGCCTCCCGAATAGCTAGGATTACAGGAGTGCACCACCAAGCCTGGCTAATTTTTGTATTTTTAGTAGAGACGGGGTTTCACCATGTTGCTCAGGCTAGTCTCAAACTCCTGATCTTGTGACCTGCCCGCCTCGGCCTCCCAAAGTGCTGGGATTACAGGTGTGAGGCACCACGCCCAGCCCACAAATATGGATGTTTAAAAGCTCCCAGGTGGCCAGGCGCGGTGGCTCATGCCTGTAATCCCAGCACTTTGGGAGGCCAAGGCGGGCGGATTACGAACTGAGGAGATCGAGACCATCCTGGCTAACAGAGTGAAACCCCGTCTCTATTAAAAATACAAAAAATTAGCCAGGCGCAGTGGCGGGCGCCTGTAGTCCCAGCTACTCAGGAGGCGGAGGCAGGAGAACGGCGTGAACCCGGGAGGTGGAGCCTGCAGTGAGCTGAGATCGCACCACTGCACTCCAGCCTGGGCAATAGAGCGAGACTCCATCTCAAAAAAAGAAAAAACTCCCAGGTTAACTGTACTGTGCAGGGTTCTCCAGGTTGAGAACTATGTACTAATGGAACGAGGGAGAGAGGAAAGCACAGATGTGAGAGGTGTACAGCATCCGGGGGATTTGGTGACTGATGCAGATCTTGGGGGGAGTCGGAGATAACTTTTTGGTGACTGACTTGAGAGTCTGGCTGAAAAGTAGTGCCATTAATCATGAATATAGAAGAGAAAACCTGGTATAACTAGAAAGCAACATGCATGCTTATTTGAAATACTTTGCCTTCCCCTCTCTGTTCTGCAAGTTCCATTAAGGTTAAGGTTGTGTCTTGCTCATTTTGTCATCTCTGGCACAGTAGCTTGCACCTACCGTGAAATACGTTTTTCCTGAATGCAATTCAACTCTGCTAGGTTCGTCTGCCTCATGTTACAGTTGGTGGCATGACTTACACATCTTTCAAAAGCTCACCGTGTATAGCAGTGACAATTGGGCTGGTTTCATAAGAGATGCATAACAAATATTAGCTAACTAGCCATTTCCACCCCAAACTCCTGACTGGAAACACTTCCAACTTAGACATCACCACATAGAAGTATACTGGGCAAAGCAAATATGTCCAAAAGTGAGGTCAAAATACTTGTTCTCCAATCTATTCCTCCTCTACCTCTTAGCAGCTCAGCCATTTGTCTGAGTCATCCAGACCTAGAACTTGAGTCATCTTTGATTCTCTCTCATCAACATTCAACCAGGTTTCAAAAGTCCTGTCTTTCATACGTTCTGTGGTCTTTCTCCCATCAGTCCTCACCAGCCCCACAGCCTCTACCAAATGGCTCACCATCAACTGCTACAGCTTGCTCTCTGACTTCCTTTCTTCCCAATCCATCCTCTACACTGCAGTCATTTCGCCATGCCTCACACAATTCCTGTTCTGTCGCTACCGTGGCTGATTCCTTTCGGTAGTATCGCTCCATGAGTCTCAGAATAAAATCCAAATGCTGAACCAATGCCCTTAATAATCTGGCCCTTAACATACTCTTCCAACTTCACATCCCACTAATTCCTTCCACCTAGAACAGTGACCTCTCCTCAATCTCATGTCCCCATGTCCAAAGGAGGGCCATTTTTCAAAGCTCAGTTCAAGCAATGTCTCCTGCAACAAGACTTTCCCTGATTATCCAAAATACATTCCCCATTACTTCCTTAAAAAATCTCTCCCTGAGTTTTCAAAGTAACTCCTAAGCATTTTTTACCCTTCACCTTAAAATATAGTTTCTCATATACAATTTCTTTTATCTCCCCTCCTAGACTTCAGAACTCCCTGTGAATAAGCTTTAGTTCTGGCTATTCGTATTTAACTATCAATTACTTCTCCCTCTATACCCATTCCATGGTTATCTCCTCCTCCCGACAGTACCTTACCAGATGGAGTTCAATAAATACCACAGGTTCAACAGGAGATTCTGGGGACATAGCAATTTCTCATTTGGTTCAGCAAGGCTGTAAATCATGATAGTATCTCAAATTGCCTACAGCAAATCACCTTGCCAGTGACAGAATCCTGTGTATCTCAGCACAATTCAGTAGCTTTACTTTGACATAACCACTAATGGATAAATTTTATTTCTCAGTAAAAATAATTCACAAGGAGAAAGCTAACAGCTACAGCTGGTGACAGTAGTCACCAGGAAAGGGAGAGAAAAGAAAAGAATGGTATAAAAGGAACAGTCCTTAAGAGGTCTCTGGACTATATATAATTATCAATGACCTGGGACATTTGTTCAATAAGTAAAACAATAAACAGATAAATTTCAGAAGTAGGGCCGGGCGCGGTGGCTCACGCCTGTAATCCCAGCACTTTGGGAGGCCGAGGCGGGCGGATCACGAGGTCAGGAGATCAAGACCATCCTTGCTAACACGGTGAAACCTCATCTCTACCAAAAATACAAAAAATTAGCCAGGCTTGGTGGCGGGCGCCTGTAGTCCCAGCTACTCGGGAGGCTGAGATAGGAGAATGGTGTGAACCTGGGAGGGGAGCTTGCAGTGAGCCGAGATCGCACCACTGCACTCCAGCCTGGGAGACAGAGCCAGACTCCAACTCAAAAAAAAAAAAAAAAAGTGGAAACAGCAAAGTTCCTTCTTTCCTTATTTCTACCAGCCTCCACTAATGAAGCATTTTCTGGAACAGGACTATCCAAAGCACTTCTGGCAATGGTGCAAGTGTTCTATTAATCTGTGCTGTCCATTAGGGGGAGCTACTAGCCACATGGCTACTGAGTACTTGGAATAGGACTAGTACAACTGAGAAGTTAATTTTAAATTTTATTTAATTTTAATCAAATTTAAGTAGCCACATGTGGCTAGTGACTATTGTGTTGGTCAATGAATACCCAGGACATGGAATGTTTTCCCCATTTTGCTTGGGTTGTTGTCAAAAGTATTTTTCTGATCAAATTCCATCAAGCTAACAAAAGTTTATGATAAATTTTCTGTTCAATATACTATTTACAAAAAAATTACATTTTTTTCAATTTTTACTTTTACTGAGGAAAAGAAATGGAGAGTGATTTTAGAGGAGACTCAAGAGAAAGACTGTGCACCAGGGTGAAAGCATCAGGCGCTGTGGGAAAAGCATCAGTCGCTGTGGAAGAAACATTAGGCGCTGTGGAAAAAGGCTCTTCCTGCAACTGAGAAATATCCTAGGATTCCCACAGCTACTTGTGAGCTACAGATGATCCCCCTTTTAAAGCTGAGGACACTGAGACTGACAGCAATTAATTGACTTGCTTATGATCACAGCTTAAACTAGGATTTAAATCCATGTCCAGCTGCAGAGTCTGAGCTCTTAAACACTACATTTTATTTTATTATTATTATTTTTTGAGACAGTCTCTGTTGCTCAGGCTGGAGTGCGGTGGCGCGATCTCGGATCACTGCAACCTCCACCTTCCGGGTTCAAGTGATTCTCCTGACTCAAGTCTCCTGAGCAGCTGGGATTACAGGCACATGCCACCATGCCTGGCTAATTTTTGTATGTTTAGTAGAGATGGGGTTCCACCATGTTGGTCAGGCTGGTCTGGAACTCCTGACCTCAAGTGATCCGCCCACCTTGGCCTCCCAAAGTGCTGAGATTACAGGCGTGAGCCACCGTGCCCGGCCTTAAACATTGTATTTTAGTTGCTAAAACAAAAATGGGCTGGATGAAAAGTAGGTTAGGTAGCTCCTAGCAGACTTAGGTTATGCAGAGTATAATAAAAGGTGGACCAGCCAGTTTGCTTGACAAGAGGCTAAGGATGTATCCAGGCAACTTTTCTTGATGGCTAGCAGGTGATGCTCAATAAATTCATACATTCCTTCAACCACAGCCATGATTCTAAGCTGGGAGATACAGGAGTGAGCAAAACAGACCAAGTTCCTGCCCTCATGGGGTTTATATTCCAGTGAGGGATGCTCTCTAATGAGATGACAACTGAACAGACACTGAGTGAATAAAGTGGGTCAGTTGTGTGGAGAAACAGCGGAGGACTGTTCCAGGCCAAGGAAACTGCAGGGACAAAGACGCAGAGGTAGCAGCATGTCGGGCACACACAAAGAACGCAAAAAAGTCAGTGTGGCAGGGGCACAGTGAATGAAAGTAGGAAATAAGCTCGAAGTGTTAAGTGGGGCCCACACCCTGTTAATACTTAACAGAGAACTGGAATATATTTTAAGATTACGGAGAAGTGTGAGAGTTGGGCATTGAGGGGCAGGAGTATTAAGAAGAGTAGGAGAGACATGATCTGATTGATGTCTTAAAGGGAACACTAGAAACTGTGAAATTAGGCTGTGAGAGAGCAAAATCTAGGAGGAAAAGTTAAAAGCAAACTTTTAATTGGAACCTTTTGAAGTAGTTCACTTACAAACGAAGCTTAGGGCTGGGAGCGGTGGCTCACACCTGTAATCCCAGCACTTCAGGAGGCCCAGGCAGGTGAATGGCTTGAGCCCAGGAGTTCAAGACCAGCCTGGACAACATCACAAAACCCCAACTCTACAAAAAATACAAAAATTAGCCAATGTGGTGGCATGCACATCTGCACTCCCAGCTACTTGGGAGGCTGAAGTGAGGGAATCACTTGAGCCTGGGAGGTGGAGATTGCAATGAGCTGTGATCACGCCATTGTACTCCAGCCTGGGTGACGGAGTGAGATCCTGTCTCCAAAAAAAAAAAAAAAAAAAAAAAACCCACAAATGAAGCTTAGATTAAGCAGGATAGCCACAGAGATGTAGAGTTGGGGAATAAAACTAATTTTAGGACAGACTTTAGCTAAATATATATGGTCAAATGAATAGCCATGGATAGATGGAAGGAAAGAAGGTTGTTCTCTAAACAAGTCACATAAGAAGCTGTATCCTCAGTCTCTCACGATCCTATTTACTATTCCTAGGCACTATCTCCCACATTCTCACATGGCCAACCAACCATTATCAGGGAAGTTCCCATAGTGTGTTTACAGATCATTCAAGTTATATGACACAGATATCTGCTATTTATTTATATTTAAATAACTGTCTCCAAACAAGCATAGCAGGCTCTGAGAATCTGATTAAAGCACAAGCAGTAGTATTAATATCCCAAGAAACATTTTCTACCTAATCTTGCCTTCCTTTGCATAGCAAGCACCTTCAGATTAATAAGCTAAATGACCCAGAATGCCTCCTAGTTGAAGTCTGCAACATCGTTTCTAAAAAGCTTAAATCCCAACAAAAAGTTGGGACACAAAAGAGGTAAAAGAAAAACTGTGGCCGGCCGGGTGTGGTGGCTCACACCGGCAATCCCAGCACTTTGGGAGGCCGAGGCCGGCAGATCAGCTGAGGTTGGGAGTTCAAGACCAGCCTAGCCAACACAGTGAAACCCCATCTCTACAAAAATTAGCCGGGTATGATGGCGGGTGCCTGTAATCCCAGCTACTTGGGATGCTGAGGTGGAAGAATCGCTTGAACCCAGGAGGTGGAGGCTGTGGTGAGCCAAGATTGCGCTATTGCACTCCCGCCTGGGCAACAGAGCGAGACTCCCTCAAAAGGAAAGGGGAAGGGAAGGAAAGAAAGACTGTGAAGTCAGAACTTCATGACTGCTTACCTAGCTATCCCCCTGCTAATTTAACCCTGAAAGGATGTCTTCTTCGTGTGTTTATGGAGAGACACCCCACTGGCGAGATGTCTCTCAAGGCGCTTGCCGGATGATGAGTATGCTGACTCAGCCTGTATGAGCTCCTCAGGGCTGGAACCCGACTGCAAAGCACAGCAGGTGCTCAGTAAAGCTGCTGAATGAAAAACCAGCAGCCCTCCACAATCTCAACCTTGCTAATGTATTCCCAAAACACCGAACTTACCTTCCTAAGTGCAAAAGCGCCAGACTACCCCTTACCTCACAGAAGACCTTCCTGAACCTTTCTACCCGCCTCACTCCTGTGAGCAACAGCTGTCTGCTGTGTACAACATTCCGTGATTTACTCAAAAAGCAACTTCAGGGAATCCCTTGGGTTTTTGCTCCTTTTCTTACTCCTCTGCCTTCAGGCAATATTCACCTAAAGTTTCCCCCTCCAGGGATATGGTAGAAAAAGTAAAGACAAAAACTGGGTGCCTGCCGGGCGCGATGGCTCATACCTGCAACCCCAGCACTTAGAGAGGCCAAAGCGGATGGATTGCTTGAGCCCAAGAGTTGGGAGACCAGCCTGGGTGACATAGTGTGACCTAGTCTCTCTCTTTTTTAAGACAGGATCTTACTCTGTCGCCCAGGCTGGTGCAGTTCACTGCAACCTCCGCCTCCCGGATTCAAATGATCCTCCCACCTCCCTAGTATTACTGCGAGGACCACAGGCACCCGCCATCACTCCATTCACTCCAGGCTGGAGTGCAGTAGCACGATCTCAGCTCACTGTAACCTCCGTTTTCCGGGTTCAAGCGATTCTTGTGCCTCATCCTCCCGAGTACCTGGAATTACAGACACGTGCCACCACACCTGGCTAACTTTCGTATTTTTTGTAGATACGAGGTTTCGCCATGTTGCCCAGGCTGCTCTTGAACTCCTGGCCTCAAGCGATCCTCCCACCTCGGCCTCCCAAAGTGCTGAAATTACTAGCGCGAGCCACCACACGGGGCCAAGACCTTGTCTACACACACACACACCCCTTTTTAATTAGCCGGGTGTGGTGGCGAGCGCCCCTGGTCCCAGCTACTCAGGAGGCTGAGGCAGAAGGATCGCTTGAGCCCAGGAGACTGAAGCTACAGTGAGCCGTGACCGCGCCACTGTACTCCAGCCGGTGGGACAGAGCGAGACCCTATCTCAAAACACACACACACACCCCCCAAAACCAACTGGGTGTCAGTCACAGCTATCTCTGTAACTTTGCCTAAATTCCTTTATCAATAAAGGCAAATACACACGCCAGGCCTCCTTCACGAGGTTATCTGAAGTCTAATGCAAATGAGAAAAGCCGACCAACTGTCAGGTGCTGCCCAAATCTAAGATCCATCAAGTGATGGGTTCAGTCAAAGCTCAAAACCAACAGGAAAGGTCGTGGCCAAGCACACTGCAGTCACTCAATAAACAAAGGTCAAATAAGGAATACTGTTCTCCAATAATGGGGTGAAGAGGAGAACCAGGCTGCCCAGATCCAACAATGTCCCTGCACGATTCCTGACAGGTAACTCCCCGTCTCTGGGCCTTCTTTCCCCCTACGTGTACAATAAGGCTTTGACAATGAAGGCTTCTAATTACTGCTACATTAAGACAGGCAGACTCTGAGAGACCAGAGTGCCTTAAGCTGCAATGTCATGAAAAGTGCACGAGACCAGAGGGTAGGCACTGGACGGGGAGGCAAAGGCACAGAGGTCTGGTTTGAGCAGCCCTCTTGTGAGCAGTGTGACCTTGGCCAACTCCCTTCCCGCAAACCCCTTCCTCCCGTCTTCATCTGTACGCCTGGCCTGAAGGCTGGGGTTGCAGCAGAGCCGGAGCCGCCAGTGCGCCCGCCTGAAGCGTGGGCCAGCTCGCTGCTGCCTCGCCCCCACCCCACCCCACCTCACCCCAACCCAGCCCGAGGAGACCCACGCTCTTCCGCAAGCGAGGGATGGACCCCTTCCGGATGCAGAACGTGCCAGGACAGCAGTTTCGATTTCCTAAGGAGAAGGCTTACTTCCCCCGGCGTCCCGGCACCGCCGGCAATCAAGAGCCTCCCGTGCTGCCCTCGGGGCCCCGCGGCTGCACGCAGCACCGGCGCGGGACCTGCCAGCCCGGCTCCGCAGCCGGCCGCAGTCCCGCGGGGTCGGCATCGCGGGAGGGACGTTGTCATAGGAACCGCGCTCCGGACCCCGGCCCGAGAAGCTCCGGAGAGGCTAGACAGGAAGGCTCGCGAGACCCGCGGAGCCCCCATGCAACCACGCCCGGCCTTCCCCTCCCACGGCAGCTTCGCACGGCCAGCAGCGCCCCCACAGCTCCGTGTCTTCCCGCGCGGCTCCACAAAAAAACCCTACCTTCCGCCATGTCTGGCCCGGCACTGCCTGCAACCTCGCGAGAAGTGCGCGGCTCAACCGGGGCGGTGCGGAACGGAATCACCAAGTCTCGCGAGAATCGCGGGAGGCGCGGCAAAAGGCGGAGCCGAGGGTAGGAAAGTGGGTGAATGAAAGCGGAGGGGGTTGCTGGACTCTGGGGGAAGCGGAGAGCCGGGTTTCTTTTTACCGGGTATTTTTGAGGCTCGAGATTTATTAAGCACTGACTGAGCCCTGTCATATTCCACGTCCTTGGCAGGGCACCGAAAAGGATGACACAACGAATGCAGACTACTCTGGAGAAGCTTGGCAATGAGAGGGTCGAGAGAGGGGGTTTGTTGGTCCTTAGGTTTGTAAAGAAAGGAGAGGCTGGGAGAAAGGAGTCAGTGGAGAGGTCCCTGGGGAGGTAGGATGCTCTGCATGCGATGCAGAACTCAGGAAAACGGATTAAATTTAGACTAGAGGCAGGTCACCTGTTATTCCACTAAAACGGTAGGAAACAAGAACATGCGTGCAGATATATAGGGGGGAAGAAAATCAGGGAGATCGTTTGATGACATCGATTTTATGGGTGAAGTTATGAGACAAGGAAGGAGACCAAGAAGAGCAAAGAAACTTTGGAAGAGGACGCTGAAGTTGGAAGGCCTGGTTTCATGTGCCTCATGTATGTGTTGATGGATCACTTTTTTCTAGAACTCAGCCACCAGGCTGCAGTAGCAGATATTTTGAATTATAGCATTTATCCAGGGCTTGGGATTGCATTGCCCAAAATAAATTGAGGGTGCTATGAGACGACAGCCCAGGCCATCAAACGTGGGATACAGACTGGCTAGGGACTGATGGAGGAGCCACGAAACTGCAGGTCTCTGATAATTGAAGGCCAGTGCAGTGCAGGCAATGTTGTGAGAGCTTGGTGGTTAAAGTGGCAAACAGGTTCATAGTGAAGTAGCACTAGGAGATGAGAAAAGTCCAGGACAGGCCGGGCGTGGTGGCTCACGCCTGTAATCCCAGCACTTTGGGAGGCCGAGGAGGGTGAATCACCTGAAGTCTAGAGCTCAAGACCAGCCTGGCCAACATGGTGAAACCCCGTCTCTACTAAAAATACAGAAATTAGCCGGGCGTGGTGGTGCATGCCTGTAATCCCAGCTACTCGGGAGGCTGGGGCAGTAGAATCGCTTGAACCCGGGAGGCAGAGGTTGCAGTGAGCCAAGATTGTGCCACTGCACTCCAGCCTGGGCAACAGAGTGAGACTCTGTCTCAAAAAAAAAAAAAAAAAGTCCAGGACAGAGCCACGGAATAGAGTGGCTGAAGTGGAAGTGAGAAGGCAGGAAAATTAGATGTTGGGATTTAGAGGTAGGAAAGGAAAGGAGCATCAGGAGCTAAAATCTTTGGTGAATGTGGGGAGGACTATACGATTAGTTAAGACAATTGCAAAATGGAGGGCTAAACAGTAACATAGCTGAATAGCATGAGACCTTTCTTGTTTTTTGTTTTTTTTTTTTTTCAGAGATGGAGTCTCTGTTGGCCAGGTTGGTCTTGAACTCCTAGTCTCAAGCAGTCCTCCCACCCCAACCTCGCAAAGTACTGAAATTACAAGCATGAGCCACCATGCCCGGCCCAGCATGAGACCTTTCAAAAAAGACTTTTACTCAAGGGAGAATCAAAAGAATGCATCAATAGTTCAGGATTGCAGGGAAAGTGGTGGCCTTGGAGGACAGCCAGGAGTAAGAGACAAAAGGTTGGAAGGAAGGATCTGAATTAGCTATACCTGGTGGTGCAGGCTTTTAGTTGTCGCTACTTGGGAGGCTGAGGCTGAGGCTGGAGAATTGCTTGAGTCCAGGAGTTTGGGACTGCAGTGAGCTCTATCCTGCCGCTGCACTGCAGCCTGGGTGACAGAGCAAGACTCTGTCTCTAAAATTAAATAAGAAAAAGAAAAGAAATTTAAAAAGAAGAATCTGAGAACAGAATAAGAGTGTCAGAAACGAAAAGGAGGATTTAAAGTTGGAGAAGCTTTAGGTGCTGTTAAGGATAAGCATTAGTGGGTAGTGAGGTGGAGTGGAGGAGGAATTTGGAGCTTAGATCGTGGGAACATAGAGTCAAGCACTGAATTTTTGAGGAAGAGTAGGAATTCTGGCTGCCAGGTACCTGGGAGATGAGAGACGGTGTTGAAACGTGTAAGCCTTTTTGTTGTGGCAGGAGACGAAAGGCACGAAGATGGTAGGGGAGAACTTTCCCTACCATGGGAAGGCCATCGCTTAAAGCGTCCCTGTCTGTTGAGAATGGTTTATAGGGGTGCCCAATGGTGAGTCTTTGGGGCCTTCAGAGTGGCCAGGCAGGCCAGGCTCCTCTGGATGCAAGCAGCCTCATCTTTTTATGGTGGAGTACCCTGCGAATATTGCCTGGGCCATAACGTAAAAGCAACATGAAAGTTGTTGTAAAGTACTGTCACAGCTGACTCCCGATTTTGCATGATGACTATCGTTACCTCAGCAGCACCAGCCTAGGGTCTGGAATATAGCAGGCACTCAAAATGTTTGATGAGGTGTTTCCACTGTGTGCTATTCTGGGAATTAAGAGACCTGAGTTCAAGTTTGGCTCTGCAGCTACTTGCTGTGTTGATGATGGGCAAGTCCTTGCAAGCCTTATGCTGCATCTCAGATTCTACCTATTTGACGAAGAACTTGGACTAGAATCCATGGTTCCTAAAGATTTGGAGGGCCATGACCCCCTTTGAGAATTTGATGAAAACCAGAGACCCTCTCCGTTTGAGTAGCACACAAATGTGTGCCGTTTCAGTGTGCTTGGACTGGATGGCCATGATCAAAGAACAACTCGCCTGAAGGGATTGATCAACTCGGGGGCTTGACTGCCTCCTCATCACAACCTCGCTCTAAGGAGCCCTCTACCAGAGGATAAAGTACCCATCTTAGAAATGACTTAACGGTATCCCTGGGCCCTTGTCTGGTTTTTTTTGTTGTTTTTTTTTTTGGTTTTTTTTTTTGAGATGGAGTCTTGCTCTGTTGCCCAGGCTGGAGTGCAGTGGTGCGATCTTGGTCCACTGCAACCTCCGCCTCCCGGGCCCAAGCGATTCTCCTGCCTCAGCCTCCCGAGTAGCTGGGATTACAGGCACACGCCACCACGCCCAGCTAATTGTTTATTCTTAGTAGAGACGGGGGTTTCACCATATTGGCCAGGCTGGTCTCGAACTCCTGACCTCGTGACCCACCCACTTCGGCCTCCCAAAGTGCTGGGATTACAGGCGTGAGCCACCACGCCCGGCCAGCCCTTGTCTTTTGAGGGGACTCTTACTGACCTGTAACCCCTGAGTTAGAGAGAAGGTAGTAAAGCCTATGAAATAAAGCACTCATAGTACTCAGTAAACTACAGCACCCACCAGGTTTGGATGGAGCTATAACATTAGCTATAACCAGAAATACAGACGTCTTGAAAAAGCTGAGCACTGGAGCATGGTCCATTTTAGACCCACTTCAGGTTTTGCAGTCAGATTCAGAGGGACTTAGTGTGGTGCTGTCTCAGACAAGGAACATGAAGAACAGGAAGGGAATAAATGCTGTCTACCGTAGCTTCAAGAGCACAGGGGAACAGACTCAGGAGGCAGTGCGGTATCATGGCAGGGCAGGAAGAGGAGGACACCTCCAGTGCTAGTCCGATGAATTGGGTCAAGCACCGGTCTCAACACATCCACGCTCTGTGAGCTCTGGTTTCCTCACCTGTGAAGAAGGGCTAATAACACCCAGTATGCAAGGCAGGCGGTGGAACCGAATCCCAGCCATGCAACTTGTGTGCTGTGCAACGATGGCAAGTTAACCTGAGCCTGTTTCCTCATGAGAAATGATTACCTTGGAAGCTGCTTCTAACAATGTGACTAGAACCTTTAGGAAAAACACATAGCACAAGCTTGCCACAGAAGAGAGGCTCAACAAATAGAAAAACTTGATTTCCAGCGCTCTTGTTGGGAATAAATGGAAGTCACTGTGAATATTGCATACTGCCGAGAAGAGGAAAAAAATCAAGTTTCTTGCCTAGGACTTTCTGTGCAGCTCCTATGTCTTAGAAGATGTGTTTGGCTCCCTTTTGTGAAAGGCTTTTCCTTCAGTTTATTTACCTGTGTGAACAGAATTCAAAATTCTTTCATCATTTCGCTAAAGCTCAGTGAGGAGTGTCAACTCCACAAGCCAAAAAGCCTAATCCTACGTTGGCAGCCAGATTACACACATCTGAAATTGAACCACCAGAAATACCATACCCAGAAAATCATTTGATCTGTGAACTGAATCCTGTGAGGGTTCCGGGCCTCCTCAAGGCAGAAAGGGTTCAATTTGAAAGGCGGTTATTAGCCCTGTCCCATGAGAGGGAGCGGGAGATCCACATCTTTCCTGGGAGCCTCGTGCCTTGCACACACCATCGAAAACCTGTTCATCTGCACTGGAAGCAGCATGCAAATAAAACGTTTTGGCTCTATACCTTGAGTAGCTGATTATGTCTAAAACTGATGTAAGTTTGGGGATATATATTGTCTAGACCCTTCCACAACAGTTCATTCCAAATATATTTATCGGGTATTTGCACTCTAGAAATAATCCCTCATCTTCCCAAAACTCCTCTCGGGGGATTTTCTTGTTCATAATTTAGCTGAATAAGAGGTCTGACTCCATGTTCCTTTCTCCGAGTTTGTAAGGAAGAGCCCTTAATAGTCGCTAGTGATTTATATCAAGGACAAACAAGCTTTCAACATCTAACACTAACTCCGTATGAACTATTTGTAAGGATTCAGGATAAAAAGCTGGATGTTGATATCTTGTGTATCTTGTAAAGAAGGTTCTCTACTCAGTCTTGCCTCTTTTGTCAGTAACTTACTAAATGACCCCTGGGCAGGTATTGGCGCATTTTCCCGTCTGTTTAGAGGACAGAGGTGGTGACTGAGATGGTGCCTGCAGTCTCTTCCAGTTCACATTTGAGTCTGGGTTCCTCACCTTTCAGCTTACCTTTATGGTAGAGCCAGTTTAGGCCAAAGACAAAATCCCCAATAATGTTCTAATAAGTGCTCACTCGAAGGTTATAAATCACAGTGCACACAAACTCTGAGTTAAAACGGTGCATGGCCACGTACTGGAAATCTAAAGAGCATCATTATCAGGTTGGAAGGCAAGTTAACTTCTCTGGTTCCTTCTTTAAAGTCTGTAAAATACAAGGTTTCCCTGTGGTTCCTTTGGTATCATGTGCTGTTTATACAGAAAGAGTCCCACAACTTGCTTTTGAGACCTGCATCCTAAAACCAAAATAGCTCGTGATACAGCCTCTAAGTCATCATTTATTGATTTATAGAGCACTCATCACATGAATGAGGTGCTTTACAATACAGTAAACATCACAACAGAACTCACATAGTTAAATACAATCAACAAATTACAGAACTAAAAAAACTGAAATGAAGCAACATTATGTCAAATTTCAAAGATGCTGAGAAGTGGCAGTACAAAAAAGGTAATTCCACCAACTGGAGACCAGACGGGCAAAGATACACAGGCACCACAGCCCAAAGCGGGCAGATTCGTCGAGGGTGAGTGGGCATATCAAATAAAATCTCACAACCAAGAATGAAGGCCGTTAAAGATACTGACACCCACGTGATCACAGTACTAGTGGAATAACCTCACAAACATGTTACCTTAGTATGACACGTCAACCTCATATGGATTTTAAACTCAAAAAAGAGGCCAGAAAGCCACTCAGATCATCTATCCCATACAAGCACAGACTGAAATCTATATGCCTCTACGAGAACTTGGAATAAATTTAGGAAACAGCCAACAGTTCTACAATCCATAAGATCTATGGAGATGTTGTTGATGGTTGGCACAAGTTTAGGGGGAAAAATCATTTTCCTAAAGCAGAGAGGAATCGCCTCACACTGATGAGGCACTGGTGGGACAAAAGCCACCTCGTTCAGTGTCACCTGAATGTGGGTTTCGTATCAAATGTAGAGGCATTTAAATTTACATTATCAGATGAACACTGAGAAAGGCACAGATGACATCTCCGACAGAGGAAGGGAAGTTGTAACATCTATGTAGGCCTGTTTCAGTATGTAACACACTCAGGGCAGGTGGAAAAGCATGTGGAGACGCACTCATGCCTGGCTCTCACTTCCACTCCCGTAGAGCTAGCCCTAAAAAAAAAACCCACATGGTTTTATCAAACTAACTGCATTAAAGTGGCACTTAAAGTTCAAAAATAGTTGTCCCTGAGTTACTAGGTCATTTGCTGCTTGCTGAAGAGTCAGATCCCAAGTTTCACCTCAACAGATTGCTAGCAGAATTATAGCAATAGGAGAGCAAAATTTGAACTCCGTTTTGCCACAAGCAACCACCATGTGAACAAGTTCTGATTTTAAAAGGGAGGGATCCCATCTCTTAAAAGAATTTTTTTGTATTAGCCAGGCATGGTGGCATACACCTGTAGTCCTAGCTACTCAGGAGGCTGAGGCAGGAGGATCACTTGAGCCCAGGAGGTCAAAGCTGCAGTTAGCTATGATCGTTGCCACTGCACTCCAGCCTGGGTGACAGAGAGACCCAGTTTCTTAAAAAAAAAAAAAAAAAAGTAAAAAGGATTGTATTCCAAGTCCCTGGAGGGTGTGCAGTGCTGACATTTTGGGGCAACTATTTTTACAGTCTTTGGAAAAGGAAAAAAAAAACCAAGTCACAAAGTTCTTAAAGAAAACTGGGTTCTAATGAATCAATTTCCAGTCACAACACACTTACGAGTTTCTATAAGGTTTGTGGGTTTGTATAATGTTTACAGGTTTTTATAACGCTTCAGAGTAGAGGACAGGGACTTAGAAAAAAATCACTCTCTACTGTGACTACATCCTCAACCATTTTATTTCTGCTTAAAAAAGGACATACAACGTTTGTAGAGGTCTGGGCTCTTGGCAGGAGTTCTTTCACTCTTCTGCCAAAGCATTTCTCCAAACCCCACAGAGCAGAGATGCACGAATTCTCACTGATTCTCACAATCAAACACCATGTCCCATCTGCTACTGTCTCAAGTTCTATCCCTTATAAGCCAAAGACTACTTCCCACACACAACCTCACAACAAACATGAAGGAGCCTAAGGCCTGCCTTTAACACTGCACATGTTCATTTTACCATTTGCTGAAGTTGTTTTAGAAAACTGTATGATATGAAATATATTGAAGCTCAAACATTAATCACATCCAAGTGTACTATTGTTAGTGACGGGATCTATACGTCAAATAGCAAAGCATTTACCCCTGTAATGCTTTTAGATTCACAGAAGAATCTAGATAGAACCAAATACATATACTGCCATGGCCATGTGATTTTCAAGTATTAAAAGTTCATTTGCATAAGGAATCAACCTGAGATTTTCCTAAACCACTTCTCTGGCACTCAGTATTATAGCCTTCATTCAATACAATAAAAGCCAACAACTTGACAATTATTGAAAAAAAATTATATTTTGGAAGAACTCACTACATAAGGTGACAGAATTCCAAAATCAAATTACATGAAAATATACATCGCAATTTCTTTGTACAATAGGTGAGAAAAATCTGCAGTATAGAAGAATAGAGGCAGAGAAATATGAAGGACTAAGGAGAAGGGTATGAGAGTAAATAGGATTTGTAATAGCAAACCCAGAAGTTAAGTAGAAAGCCTGTAGCTGTGCATGCTTCATTTATCCAACCTTAATACCAGGCAACTGAAGAGGGAAAAGTCAGATTTGCTATTGTTTGGGGAAATTTTCAGTAAGTTGAATTAAGAACCATCTATTTTTAGTTCTCAGGGGTAATGACTGGGATCAAGAGCTCACAACGGCCAATAAATGTTATTGCTATATCCAATCCAAGAGGTGGGTGCAACTAGAATACAAAAAGGACAAAGCACCTAGTGATGACTCCTTCGAAGTCATCATTAAAAATCAAGTAATTGCTCATTAAGTATTTCAGTATTTGAACTAAATCATTTGAGAACATTCTGGCAGGTAAGAGATAAAAGCAAAGGGGAGTGTGTCAAAACAAAGAAGATACAAAAGTTTAGTAAGTGAAAAGAGTTTAATGAAGCCTCAAGGGTTTAAGGGAAATTAAATGGAAACTTTTAATCCTAATTGCTTTTCATCTGACATGCTTAAAGGAATCCTTTTAAACTGATAAGAAACAATGAATAGGAAAGAAAACCTGCTAAAATCTCTTAGAATTTACACGATTCTTATTCTACTACAAGAAAGCATTATTTGGTACAAGGTGTATTTGTGGATGTACATGAACAGTATATATATTATCCGGATCATGTTGTGCTATGTACAGGTCTTTACAATTCTTCCTGAAGGTTAAAACAGTTCATTAGAATTCAAAATGCGTAATCATCTGTAAGTTGGCACTTGTTAGGCTCTTGTCAGCATTGATAACTGGCATGTTTTATTGCAGCCCAGTTCCAGCCAGTGTTTGCCAACTTGTACAACAGAAGTCCAGCAATAGGTGGGTAGAGTGCAGGAAAAACAGTGCCATGTTTCTCAATTGGAGACCTACAACAACAAAAACAACATTATATAGTCAATTCATCAATTACAAAAGAATTAACTGTAAGTAGGTTTTATCCATATTAGATTTATTTGACAACAAATCCTTAATTTCATTCTGAGCTCACTTTGTTTCTATCTATTATGGTAGCTCACAGCCACGTGGGTATATTTAATTTTAAATGTAAATTAATTGCCATTAAGTACAATTTACAATTTAGTTCCTGAGTCATGCTAAGCACATTTCACGTGCTCAGTAGTCACATGTGGCTAGTGACTGGCAAGCTGAACAGCACAGCTGTATCCTTATCATCACAGAACGTTCTACTGGACAGCGCTAATTTAGATTTTTCAATACTTCAAATGTCTTTCAACTTATATTAAATCTAGAATCCATAAGAGAAGATTTAAAAGCCAAGTGATTTGGAAATTTACAAACATTTGAGGATGTTCAGAGAAACAACTTAAGATTGCCACACTTCCCAACTTGCTAAATTCTATCTAACTCACTATAGCTCCCTTCAAACCCATTTTCTCCACAAAGCCTGCCACAAATGACCCTCCATCCCAACCACAGTTTCTAAGTGTTTCAAATCTGTTGGCCTCGTATCATCCAGTTAGACTGTAAGTCAAGAACACATCTACATAAAAAGCAGCACCGCCTCATCGAGTTCTGATGTGCCAAGCAGCATGCTAAGCGCTTTACAAACTCATTTCCTGAATGCTCACAATCATCATTATGAAGGAGTCTCCCCTCTAAAGCTGAGACAAGTTCACATAGCCAATAAATGGCTGAGTTTCCTGTTCAAAAAGTTAGAAAAACACTAGGTTGAAGTTTTTGTTTGTTATTTATTTGAGACAGGGTCCCACTCTGTCCCTCATGCTGGAGTGTAGTGGCATGAACATGGCTCACTGCAGCCTCTGGGCTCAAGTGATCTTCACACCTCAGCCTCCCAAGCAGCTGGGACCACAGGCACACACCACCATGCCCAGATAATTTTTAATTTTTTTTTGTAGAAACAGGGTCCTCACCACGTCACCCAGGCTGGTCTTGAACTACAGGCTCAAGCAACGCTGCCACCTCGGCCTCCCAAAGTGTTGGGATTACAGGCATGTGCTACTGCACCCAGTGGTTAAAGCTTTAAAAGTCTCATTTGACTATTAGACTTTTCAGAGTCTTTATTATATTAATATGTGCTTTGAAAGGGGGGTGGGTGGGGGCGCCAAGGACAGCAGAAAAGGAAACACCTATTAGGACTGCATCTTTAGGTCAAGTGTTCCAAAGAACTCAGAAACTCTGAATCCATTGCCATGCACAATTTTGGGCAAAAGAAACAGAAGATGACTAAGAAATCAAGGGATATAATTTTAAATTCCTCACAGAGAAGCCAAATATACCTAAAGAGTTATGACAAATTTTAACTCACACCAGACATGTTCAAAATTCAGCATGCCTTCTAAAGCCCAATATGAACTTACCAATTTTTTTTTTTGAGACGGAGTCTTGCTCTGTCACCCAGGCTGCAGTGGCGCGATCTCGGCTCACTGCAAGCTCCGCCTCCCTGGTTCACGCCATTCTCCTGCCTCAGCCTCCCGAGTAGCTGGATCTACAGGCACCCGCCACCACACCCGGCTAATTTATTGTATTTTTAGTACAGATGGGGTTTCATCCTGTTAGCCAGGATGGTCTTTTTTTTTTTTTTTTGAGACAGAGTCTTGCTCTGTCGCCCAGGCTGGAGTGCAGTGGCGCGATCTCGGCTCACTGCAAGCTCCACCTCCCGGGTTCGCGCCATTCTCCTGCCTCAGCCTCCCGAGTAGCTGGGAATACAGGCGCCTGCCACCATGCCCGGCTAATTTTTTGTATTTTTAGTAGAGACGGGGTTTCACTGTGTTAGCCAGGATGGTCTCGATCTTCTGACCTCGTGATCTGCCTACCTCGGCCTCCCAAAGTGCTGGGATTAGAGGCGTGAGCCACCACGCCTGGCCAAATTGATCTATCTTACAATCACTCAAATGCAACCATACCAAAAGCTCTGTTGTGGGGAGAAAGAAAGCCATTTAGACAACCTCCCTACAAGATCCTGAGAGGTAGAACGACTGCTATATGTCTTTCCAAAAGACATGTACCAATCAATGTAAATGGCCCTTAGCAAAGCATGAAATGTACTAAGTAACAAATATATCACCTTCACCAGATACACGTATGCACATACATATTTTTATTAGAAAATCAAAAGACATACACTGAAACCCAAGAGATGGCCAGGCACAGTGGCTCCTGCCTGTAGTCCCAGCACTTTGGGAGGCCAAGGTGGGAAGATTGTTAGACACCAGGAGTTCGAGACCAGCCTGGGCAACAGGAGACCCTTGTCTGTACAATAAATAATATAATTAGCCAGCCACGGTGGCACATGCCTGTGGGAGGACAACTTGAAGCTAGGAGTTCAAGGCTGCAGTGAGACATGAGTGTACCACTGCACTGAAGCCTGAGTGACAGTAAGAGTGAGACCTTGTCTCAAAAAAGGAACAGAACAGGGCAGGGGAGGACGCCACTGCACTCCAGCCTAGGCAACAGAGCAAGACTCCCGTCTTAAAAAAAAACAACACTAAAATCAGGCGACCTAGCCTTTTAATAGCAAAGATCCAGTTTTAAACAGCATTACCCTTTTCAGCAGAGGAAAAAGAAAATCTATCCCTCTTCCCTTTTAATAAAAGTTATACTAAATTCTAAATAGAGACAAGGCCTCAGTACAGAAAAGGCAGGTTTTGTCATTCTTTTCTCCAGAAAGATAAATGTGAAACTGAATTAACCAGCACAACACTGCAAATAAATGGTGCTGACTTGCAACAGTCATTTACATTTTAAGCATATCCATTTCGCAGAATTTATGTTTCAATATTAATTGAAATTATATCAATTGCACCTGTCATTTGCCTCATATCTTCTCAGAATTATGCCTGCTTTTTAACCTAAAAATCTGGAGATGGTTTACCTCCAAAGAACTTGAGTGTCTTATTCCATTTATTAATATTTCTAAAACTAGAGTCGTCTTTAATTTTCCATATGGCTACAAAACCTAATCTTTTAAAAAGATCTAAAAAAATATAAAACAGACCAATGTGCTCCCAAATAGAAGCCACTTTTTGATGTTAATGACAAAAATAAAAGTAATTCTTCAATCATAGGGAAGTATTTCAATGATCTTAAGTGTTTCAATGATCTTGTAAGTGAAAACAGCCAATACCAATTAAGTTTTCCCCATTACCCTTCACAAAAAAATGCTTCCAAAAGTTCCAAATCACCCTACACAGCCACCCAGTGTACTCCTGCTCCGTCACCAATCCGCTGACTTTTTCCCCCACACTGGGACCGTGCTGCTCGTCGTCTTCTACCATGAGATTGGTGAGTAGCTCTAACACCAACTTCCTTTCTGAGCTCTCTGTGAGAACTCACTCTCCTAACTCTCCTGCATGTTACCAAGCCAGTCTCTGTCTCTTCCTTCTGTACCCTAATTGTGCAGTCTCCAAGTTGTCCTTGCCCTGGTAAGTACTGCTCTCTACACCAAACAGATCTTCATCTCTACTCTGGAGACTTGCAATGTCACCAGCAGCCCTACTTCTAACCTCTATCCTAACCACCTCAAATTGAGTCATGGTCTGCTTCTACTCCCACTGAAGCCCCCCCGCCCTTTTTTTTGGAGACAGAGTTACCCTCTGTCGCCCAGGCTGGAGTGCAGTGGTGCAATCTCCGCCTCCCAGGTTGAAGTGATTCTCCTGCCTCAGCCTCCCGAGTAGCTGGGATTACAGTCGCACACCACCGTACTGGCTAATTTTTTTTTTTGTATTTTTAGTAGGAAGCGGTTTTGCCATGTTGGTCTCAAACTCCCACCCACCGATCTTCGCCTCCCAAAGTGCTGGGATTACAGGCGTGAGCCACTGCCCCTGGCCTCCACTGAAGTTTTTAATGTGGTTTAACCTTACTTTGTTTTATGCTTGGTCTACCTGGCTAGGCAAACAGTCTTTACAGGTCAGTATAGTGTATCTATCGCATTCTATGTGTTCCTTCTTTCCCCAAGAGGACAGTGCCTTTGCAAATGTGTTAGAAATAACTATAGATTCATGCCCCACATCTGCAACTAAGTAAGGCAGGCAGGCAGCCTTCTACCTTACTGTGCTGAGTTACGCAATCCGTAGTACTTATTCTGGGTCAAGTTCCCTAGGAAACGGATTCTGAGGCAGAGATTTGAGGTTTGTCAGGAGGTGCTCTCAAAAACAAGAGTGAGGGATGCAAGCTTAGACAAAGGGAGAAGATGAACTAACTCAAGGCAGTTGAAACAAAGGCCTCAGTCAATACTATGTTAGAATGACCTTCCCGAGAATTCCCAAACAAGACAAAAGAGCCAGTTGACCAAGCCTTTGTACCAACCCAACTCCACCCGTCTAATCCACTAGTCACTGAATGCAGGTAAGCACCAGCGATTCCTACAGGGGAACTCAGCTGTGCTTTACAGCAGACAAGGTTCCCGAAGCTTGGGAATGACTGCCTCCCTCAAGGCAGTCTACCCACACCTGGCTCACCCTCTCTCACTTGCTGCCTCTGATGAAGCCAACTGCCATGTTGTGAATTGACTTATGGAGAGGTCTTCAGTAGACAGAACTGAGGGAGAACTCCAGCCAACAGGCAGTGAGGAGGAACTCAGTCGTGCCTGGAACCAGATGCACCCCAGTTGAGTCAACACCTTGACCACAGCCTTATGAGAGACCCGGAGTCAACCAAGCCACACCCAGATCCCATGGCCATGGAAATCATGAGATAATAAATGTTGTTTCAAGCCACTAAGTTTTAGTAATTTGTTACGTAGCAATAAAGAACCAATACAGTCCCTCTAGCCTTGGTGCAGAACGGAGTCCTCCTGTCCAGTGGTACACAAAGTAGCCATGGTTCTCATCTGTGGCAAGGGGAGAATTTGTTTCCTTTTCCTCTCTATTCTTCCTACCCCACAGCTGAATTAGAACATAAGGGTACTAATAATCTCTATATAGGACAAGGTATAAACACTAACAAAATGTGAGATAAAGCCTGGGCCAAGTGGCACCCACAGTAATCCGTGCATTTTGAGAAAATATGTGTGGGTCATGGACTTGAATGTAGATAAATATGTATTTTCAAATAATCTTAAATTGATTTCACTTTCAGTTCAGCCCAGACAGACAATACATTTTTCAAGTGTTTATAGTGAGTTTTCGTTCACGTCTATGTCCTATCACATGACTGAAAACACAAAAAATACTCAGAAAGTGCATGGTGATAAAGCCGTGAGAAAAGCCAGCCTTCAAGAAGAGACAGGTGAGGCTGCTGACTATTCAGTCTACAAAGCCGGCCTTGGGGAAACAGGTATCTTTTACATTTTTTTTTTTTTGTTTGAGATGGAGTCTCACTCTCTTGGCTCACTGCCTCTGCCTCCTGCAGCCTCTGCCTCCGGGATTCAAGTGATTCTCCTGCGTCAGCCTCCCAAGTAGCTGGAATTACAGGCGCCTACCACTACGCCCAGCTACTTTTTGTATTTTTAGTGGAGACGGGGTTTCACCATGTTGGCCAGGCTGGTCTTGAACTCCTGACCTCAAGTGATCCACCCATCTTGGCCTCCCAAAGTGCTGGGCTTACATGCATGCGCCACCGCGCCCGGCCTAAGGAAACAGGTTTCCATGGTATAAAGCCTTAATACAAAAAAATTGTGTAATGGCAATGACATTTAAAAATTAGGTGCACATCTCAATAAAAAGAAGACTGACTCATTTATTTAAGCATTTGATTGTCTACAGCAGGGGTGCCCAGTCTTTTGGCTTCTCTGAACCACACTGGAAGACAAATTGTCTTGGGCCACACAAAATACACTAACACTAACCACAGCTGATGAACTTAAAAAAGAAAAAATAAAAAAAAATCTTGATGTTTTACGAAATTCTACCAATTTGTGTTGGGCTGCATTCAAAGCTGTCCTGGGATACATGTGGCCCGCAGGCTGCAGGCTGGACAAGCTAGCATACTATACTCTGAATATCAGACAGATGAGTGAAATATAGACCCATTGTTAGAACACATTAGTGATTTTGGTGTGATGTATATTTAATTCAATTTTTAAATGATTACACTTTTAGTTCAACTAATGATTGGTTTAGGTACTTACTGAGGCATTTACTTCCTAAGCAGATTTTTAAAAGATGGTGAAAATAGGAATAATTTTTAGACTGCATGGTATATCTGGTAGTAAAGGGGAGCACTTCTGGTTATAATAAGGAGATCTGAAAGCACATCTAAATTTTTTCTAGAAACCAGAGATATCAAACATGAAAACAGGATAAATGGTGGACAGACTTTAGCTTTACTTCGGACTTAAACCTTTGCATTTGATACATTTAATCACAAAAATAAATTAAAATTAAGATAAACAAGCCAACCATTGAAAAATACAAAAGCC